>NC_000013.11:76892954-77044469 GCF_000001405.40 Homo sapiens
ACCTGTGTTCCAAATGAAGAAAGAAACTCAAAAAGGTTAGGTGACTCACACCTCCTCTCAGGTGGCTGGGATGCAGTGCTGGGATGCACGTGGATGCTTCCTGATTTCATATCCCATGCTCTTTGAACTCTTCAGCAGCCATATCAGCTCCATTTAACACCCAAATGAAGGTTGTCATTCAAAATAATCACCTTGAAGACTATATACTCCTTTGAGGGATGCTGGAATCACTCACCATTTTTGGTACATTTGTTTGGAAATTTTCTTCAAAGCCAATTTACACAAGAATATCACCCTATTATTTTATACTTATGTTAAAGTTGTAGTTGATATCTTTCTAGGGCTCTAAAACAGGGCACCTCACTGCAGGACAGACCCACATGCCTGAAAATAAATTAGGACAAAGCCAGTTTTCATGAATGAAACTAAGGTGATGATCATCGGGTATTCACCTTTTGACATTGGGTTTTAAAGATCTCATCCCTAGAGTTCTCTAATATGCTGAATAGCATTGAGTTTAGGTTACTTAGAAAGAAGGGCTGATTCAACTGCAGAGATTTTAATATGTGGTTCCAGAAAGTCTGCATATTTTATTGTGAGGTTTGCACAAGAAGCCAAGCCACTGGCTAGACTGTAATGGTTGATTTCTTATGTAATTGTAAGATCATTTATTTGATATAATTAAGGGGGAAAAATATATTTCCCCAATTTGCTTTCCAGTTACTAAAGAAATATGCATAATATTTCACAGTAAGAAAATTGCCTCAAAACATGCTAAACTTTAAATTTACATTACTTGGTATAATTTACTTTTAAAAAATACATTTCTTTTCCTACAGTAAAATATAGATGGGAAAATCATACACTTTAGAGTTTGATGAACCTGTATCCTTCTCCTGGTTTTATTTAAAATCAGATATTGGTCATAGTTATTTAAATATTCTAAACTTCAGATATTTATCTTAAAATGGAGCAAAAATACCAACCTCATGGGACTCTTGTGAGATTAAATGAGATGATACAAAGCATTTTCTTCCACAATGTCTGGCACATAACGGATACATCATGACATCATGCATGTAGGTTTCTGCTCCCACCCTTTCATTCCCCCATTGCCATTGCACTTCTATAATTCAGAGTTCCTTGGTGAGTTTGCTTACCTCATTCTTCAATCTGTTTATCACTCTCTCTTAGATGATGTCTCTTTAACAGTAACTAAAATGGACAGGGTAAATGGCACTTCCTCAGCAGTTCCCCATTTCTTCCTAGGAGTCAGTCACATCTAACACAAATTTACTCTCTGGTTGGAAAATTTAGTCAAAATCTAGACAGCTGGGAACCCTCAATTCCAGGGCTTATTTCTCATCCTAGACTTTGCAACTCAAAGTACAGTTGGCATAGTTTTATCTCCGTAACTAAAAGTTCAGCTATTGGCAACCTCTAGGAGGTAAAGGCTGGGTAGGGGTGAGCAGAAGTGTTCTAAAGAGGGCCTTAAAAACTCCAGGTATCCTTAAAATCCAAAGACAATGACTTTTTCTCTGTTCTAAACCCAGGGACTTAAGCCATGAAATGTTGAGGAACTGAGCCTAAAGAGGGCAAGAGCACCATCCCAAACCACAGCTATGGTGTTTCCCCCTAGCTTCCAGGCGACAGTGGCTCCACAACAGGAAGAACGTGTGCACACTGCAAAGGAAACAGAAGTTTTGCATGGCTGCAACAGATTTTACTGGAAGAAGTATCAACAGTGCAAGTTTAGCTCCCCTTTACATTGCATTCAACATCCCTTCAAATATTTATAGAGCACCTGCTATGTGCCTGATCTTGCCAGAAGTTATGGATGGTTCCACAGGTCCTTGGCCCATGAGAACCTGTACAATATCAAAGTAAGTGACTAGTAAAATAGCAGGGACATGCCACAGGTGAAGATCATAGGGAGGGAAGTTACCTTCCTGCATGAGTCAGAGGTTTCTAGAGAAACAGGAAAGATACTATACAAAGCTGACCTCAAGTAAGTCAGGTCAAACAAAACACTTTTCCTCAGCATTGCTAATATCTCAGCATTGTGATAATACTGTAGACATAAGTATATTATATTTTGGCAAGGTATCTGACAGCTCATTCATGATCTTTTTGGATAAGATAGAGAAATGTGTGCTGGACAATAATATCAATTAGATGGAGACATGGTTGATAAAAACAGACATTCAAAGATTATTGATGAATGAAACAATGCGTAACTGAAGAGAACGGGTTAGGAGAAAGATTCTGTTTTAGCTTTTTTCTATTGAATTTTTATCAGTAAATTAAATTAACATGTGGGAATTATGCTAATAAAATGTATAGTTACACAGAGCTTAGTGGGCTAACTAACCAAACAAATATGGAATTAACTTTCAAAATTATCCACATAGGTTTCAGCAAGAAAGAGAAGCAAATAAGAGAGGATGTAGTAAGTATAAAGGTAAAGTTATGCAATTGCTTATGACACAGTCGAGCAGTTTACATGAAAAGTGACCTGGGAGTCTGCATCTACTGCAAGTTTAAGAAGCCAATACAGTGGCATGACTGTAACATGCACAGGTACAAACACCAAATACAATCGCTTTTCAACATTGGAAAGGACCTTATAAATTATTTATGTCAAATCTTTCCTCTTACAGATCCAAGCTGAGGATGTGATAGTAAAAACACAATAACTGACAGTAAAACTACACCTAGCATTCACATATCTTTAAGTCTAGGCATCACAAGCTTAAGAGTTATCTTAATAGGCAAGAGTATATTTGAAGGAGTATAAGCAAGCTTGTGAAGAATCCAAAAACAATGTAATAGCAAGATTTTTTAAATTTTAGCATAGAATAGCTTAGAAGAGAGTATTACTGGAGGCAGTGTGGCAGCTTGTCTTAGTCTGTTCACGTTGCTCTAACAAAATACCATAAACTGGGTGGCTTATAAATAACAGGAATGTATGTCTAACAGTTCTCATGGCTGAGAAGTCCAAAATCAAATCATCAGCAGATTAGGTGTCTAGAGAGGGTCTATTTCCTGGTGTGCAGATGGCTCCTTCTCTCTATGTCCTCACATAGTGGAAGAGGCAAACAAGCTCCCTCAGGCCTCTTTTATCAGGGCACTAATCCCATTCATGAGAACCTGATCACCTCCCAAGACCGCCTCTTAATACCATTATATGGGGGATTTGGTTTCAGCATGGGAATTTGAAGGGGACACAAACATTTAGACCATAGCACATGTTTAATGAGTCTGAAAAGTCCTTAGGACCCCCTGACCTAAAGGCTGAATTAGGGACATTGTCTTTGGGGGTGAGTAGACTGCTTCAATGTGTTCATTGTTGAACTACAGGGTTCTAGGTGGCCGGAGCATTGTCCAGTATTAAAAGAACTTTAAAAAGGCAGTCCCTTATTGATGAGGTACTTCCTGACTTCAGGGACAAAGTCACTGATGGAACCAATCCAGAAAAAGTGTTCTCATTGTCCAGCTCTTCTTCTTGTACAGCCAAAAGACTGGCAGCTGGTGTTTACCTTTTCCCTTCAAGGCTTGGGAGTTAGCAGCTGTATAAAAAGGGCAGTCCTAATCATAAATCCAATTGCATTTGTGCAAAACAGTAGGGGTAACCTATCCCTTCCTTCCTTAAATCCTAGTGCTTGCTTATCTTCCTTACTAAGAAATGTCCTATGTGGATTCCCTGCCCCCTCCAGAATAGAGCACTTTTGTCTGCATTAAATACCTGTTCAGGTAGATATCCTTCTTTTCTCAATGATTTTCTTAATGGTGTCTGGGAACTCGTCTGCTGCTTCTTGGTTGGCAGATACAGCTTCCCTTGTTATCTTCATATTTTTAAAACAAATCTCTTCCTAAAATTATCAAACCATCCTTTGCTGATATTAAGTTCTTCAGCTTTAGATCCTTCACCTTCCTTTATTAAGTTGTCATACCATGACTTTGCTTTTTCTTGAATCACATTAGAGTTTATAGATATGCCTTTCTTATAACAATTCTGTATCTACATGAAAAGCTGCATTTTCAATTCAAGATAAAAAGGTATTTTGCAAAAAGTCCAAGATTTTCATGCCTGCTGGCATAGCTGCAGCAGTGGCTTCATGAGTCTCCTCTCCTCTCCTCTCCTTTCTTTCCTTTTTTTTTTTTTATCAATGGTCCTTATACCGGATTCATTTATCTTGAAATGAAACCACAGCTGCAGACCTCAATCTATAATACACACCAAGCAATTTAACTGTTTCTTGTAATGTCATGACTTTTTTCTGCTTCTTAGGAGCATTTCCAGCATCACTAGTGGCAGTTTGTATGGGTGTCATGTGTTATTCAAGGTTTATGCTATTGCATTAAAACATGTTAAAAAAAATACACAGGAAACATGAGAGATCACTTTTCATTGTGACACATAATTTACCAGAGTTATGACCTGCTCATGCAGAGATGAGTAGCATTACATGGCATTTTAAGTGGATACTTTTGACACTTGAGCTCACTACAATAGCAACAGGAGGTGGCTATGAAATTATAGTAGTATAGTATGTGCTACAGTTAATTTTGTGCAGTTATAATTTAATACTGCATGTTTGTTTATAATTCTCTCAACTGCAGTGGTGCCATGTTTGGTCAGTAAGTATATACATAAATTTTGATGCAATTTACCTTTTTATAATAGCTTTGTGTAAATTTTATGGTAGCAAATCATCTAATAGGCTTGTATTGACATACATTTTATGCATTCATGACACAAGAAAATTTTTTTTATATTTCTAGGCCACATGAATGAAATGAGAGAACTCATTTCAGCATTAACTCAAATGTTCATAGTTCAAAGTCTCATGTGAGACAAGGCAAGTTCCTTCCCCCCCAGGAGCCTGTAAAATCAAAAGCAAGTTAGTTGCTTGTTAGCTACAATAGGGATGCAGGCATTGAGTAAATACAGCCATTCCAAATGGGAGAAATTGGCCAAAACAAAGGGGCTACAGGGCCCATTCAAGTCTGAAATCTAGCAGGGCAGTCAAATCTTAAAGCTCCAAAAGGATCTCCTTTGACACCATGTCTCACATCCAGGTCACACTGATGCAAGAAGTAGGTTCCCATAGTCTTGGTCAGCTTCACCCCTGTGGCTTTGCAGGGTACAGCCTCCCTCCTGGCTGCTTTCACAGCCTGGTGTTGAGTGTCTATGGCTTTTCCAGGCACATAATGCAAGCTGTCAGTGGACCTACCATTCTGGGGTCTGGAGGATGGTGGCCCTTTTCTCACAGCTCCACTAGGTGGTGCCCCAGTAGAGACTCTGTATGGGGGCTCCTACCCCACATTTTCCTTCTGCACTGCCCTAGCAGAGATTTTACATGAGGACCCCCTCCATAGCAAACTTCTGCCTGGACATCCAAGCATTTCCATACATCTGAAATCTAGGCACAAGTTCCCAAACCCCAATTCTTGGCTTCTGTGCACTCGCAGAATCAACACCACATGGAAGCTACCAAAGCTTGAGGCTTGCACCCTCTAAGCTCTGTGTTGTGAGCTCTGTGTTGGCCCTTTTCACCCATAGCTGCAGTGGCTGGGATGCAGGGCACCAAGTCTCTAGGCTGCACACAGCATGAGGACCCTGGGCCTGGCCCAAAAAAACACTTTTTCCCTCTAGGCTTCCAGGCCTGTGATGGGAGGGGCTGCTGTGAAGACTTCTGACATGCCCTGGAGACATTTTCCCCATTGTCTTGGGGATTAAAATTAAGCTCCTCATTACTTATGCAAATTTCTGCAGCTGACTTGAATGTCTCCTCAGAAAATAGGATTGTCTTTTCTATCACATTGTCAGGATGCAAATTTTCCAAACTTTTATGCTCTGCTTCCCTTATAAAAATAAATGCTTTTAACAGCACCCAAGTCATCTCTTAAATGCTTTGCTGCTTAGAAATTTCTTCTGCCAGATACCCTAAATCATCTCTCTCAAGTTCAAAGTTCCACAAATCTCTAGGGCAGGGGCAAAATGCTGCCCGTCTCTTTGCTAAAACATAGCAAGAGTCATCTTTGCTCCAGTTCCCAAAAAGTTCCCCATTTCATCTGAGACCACCTCAGCCTGGAACTTATTGTACATATTACTATCAGCATTTTTGTCAAAGCCATTCAACAAGTTTCTAGGAAGTTCCAAACTTTCCCACATTTTCCTGTCTTCTGAGCTCTCCAAACTGTTCCAACTTTTGCGTATTACCCAGTTCTAAAGTCACTTCCACATTCTCAAGTATCTTTTCGGTAACACCCTACTCCTGGTAGCAAATTACTATATTAGTCCATTTTCCTGCTGCTGATAAAGACATACATGAGACTGGGCAATTTACAAAAGAAAGAGTTTTACTGGATTTACGGTTCCACGTGGCTGGGGAGGCCTCACAATCATGGCAGAAGGCAAGGAGGAGCAAGTCACATCTTACATGGATGGCAGCAGGTAAAGAGAGAGCTTGTGCAGAGAAACTCCTGTTTTTAAAACCATCAGATCTCATGAGACCCATTTACCATCACAAGAACAGCATGGGAAAGATCCACCCCCATGATTCAATCATCTCCCACTGGGTCCCTCCCACAATATGTGGGAATGGGAGCTACAAAATGAGATTTGGGTGGGGACACAGAGCCAAAACATATCAGACAAGAACTGGGTTGACTTCACTGCTGTAGATCTAAGCTACAGACAGGCAACACAGAAGGGACTTATGATTTGGGCTGAGAAATTGCATTAGATGATTTCTACTTCTTTCTAACGTAAGAGAACAATTTTCCTCACCAACTGCTTATGCAAAAATAGGCATTTTTTTCTAATCTTCCCTCCCAATTTCAGGGATCAAACTTGATTTAACAGCTATCATGTTAGAGAACTTATAATCATAACCAATAGCTAGTATGTCCTGTATCTTCCCTATGTCTCAGGACCTGTGCCAAACAGTAGATCAATCATGTCTGAGATCCTTGAATACCCAGTGATGAGCAGATTTTTTTTAATACATAATTTTTTCCTGCTGTTAAATCTTTGACTAAATATAAAGGCAATGTTCATTTATTTCAATAAATTCAACCATACAAGTATAACCAGTGTACATTTACTAATATATCTACTTTTATAAGTATGTTACAGTGCAAGTAAAAATGTGTTAAATAATATAGCACCATTCCACATAGTTTAAAGCATTTTATTGCACATACTGATTTTTTAATTATATTGGTTTCTCGCCTATTCATTCTACCAAAACCTTGTATCATTTAGTTCTTATGATGGATAAAAACTGAAGTGGTCATTATGCATTTGGCAAAACCCATAGAACTGTACAATGCAGAGTGATTTCTAATACAAAATGTGGACTTTAGTTAATTACAATGGATTCATATTGGTTAATCAATCATAACAAATGTACCATACCAATGCAAGATACTAATAATAAAGGAAACTGCGGGGAAGAGGAGAAGAGTATATAGGATTGCTATACTTTTTGTTCAGTTTTTCTGTAAAACTAAAACTGCCCTAAGAAACAAAGTCTATAAACCTAAAAAAAATAATGCAAACAGATTTTCATAAGCCCTCTAATTATTTACCCTTGGGCCATTCTCCAAAGGAGTCTATCATCCTGCTTTCAAAATTGTTTACAAATATCCCATCTACAGATATATAGAGATACTACAGATAGAAAGAAAAAGCTTTTGTTCATCTCAGGAACTGTCTAATTGTGACATTGACATAGTCTACAATTTTAACTTTACCCTACCAAATTTAATATAAGACAAGATGCCACAGCACACTGGGATAGTTGTTCTATGGTTAGGAACTTTATACGTGTTTAAATTATCTGATCCCTTTTACATCATCCTTCTGATCCTTCTTGCTAGAAGTGATACTGTCCTATCCTCAACTGCTCTACATATTCAAGGATGCTCTTTTGGTCAATGGAAGTAGCCATCTCCATTTCTTGAGCGCCTTCCACATGTAATGCAATATGTTAGGTGCTGGGATACAGATATGTCTAAGGCAGACAGAGTTCCTATCTTCAGCAGAGGATGCAGATATTAACCAAATTTTACAATTGAAGAAACAAGCCTGGGTTTATCACATTCATAATCCACTTAACAAATATTCATTGAATGAACTTGACTGATTAAGAAAATAACTGAGGCTTAGTTAAGTTTTTCTTTTATACCACATAGGAAGACTGCCAAGGAGAAACTAGTACCATAGACAAAGTAATGAATGCATATTCAACCTGCTTTAACTGAATATCTTTAAATAATTTGTATAATGATTTATTTGATGTTGTAAGTTTCAAATAACTCCTAACCACCTTTAAATTTAAGAATAATATTTTCCCTATAGTTAGACAGCATTTCAGCTGACCAAATCATTATTCCTGGCTGCTTCATCAGAGCACTGAAGGCCAAATATATATTAACATATGTTAGATACTTAAATGGTTCTCATCAAACCTCCAGATGTTCAATCAAGAGAAGAAAAGTGCATGAACTCTCTGATTGTCCTATCAGCAGGGTATAGGAATAAAAATGCATCCCATACAGGAAGACCAAAAGGCACATGTTTTTTTCTCCAGCTGTTTTCAGCTACTCAGGTGAAGCTAAAAGTTAGATTTACCCAGGTAGGGAGTTGAAGGGGTAGACAAGGGAATTATTAAAATGATGGAATGAATCCAAGCTGTGGAAGGAGGAAAATGAGGAGATACGTGAGTGGGGCTTTCTCAAAATAGCACTTAAAGACATCAGATTACTCTTCAATATTATTTTCTCCTCAAAGGAGGGGTCCAGGAAGCCAATAGAGAATATAATGGGGTTTCTAACCAAGAGGGGATAATGGGAGGATTGTTTCCCACCTCCAGCCTTAGCTGTCTCTGTCTCACTACCACTTTAACCTCCTTTATTAACAACACACGTCTGAATCCTGTAGCTTAGAGTCCACTGTGAGAACAGAGCCTTTTCAGCTTCTCCTGGATTGATCAATACACCTTTCACTTAAATTCTCTTTTGACCTTCAAAGGTAACCTTTATTGGTGACTTGTACTCTTGCTTGTGTTAAGGATGTCAAATTGCTAGATTTAATCATTATGTCATTTCTATCTATTTCTGTCTGGCTGAAGACTAATTTCCTAATTCCAAAGTTGAGAAGCAGGTTCTTGTTTCTATCATCAGAATGGGTCCTTAAGTTGGAAACTAGACTCGACAGATACGAGTAAAACAAAAACTAAGTGTTGGTTTTATTCCCACATTTCCCCTGACCCAATTAGAATGAAAGGGAATAGATCTCACCAGTCACAGTTATGGCATGTGCTGATGGTCAAGAGGAAAGCGGGCAACACCTGGCAACCCACCTGTCCCGGAAGTCCTGCCCAACACTGTCACATCAAAAGGACAAAACTTAGTCTTGTGGCCACATCCAGCTGCAATAGCATAACGAAGGTCAGCAGAGGGGAGCATTTTACCTGGAGGGCTAACAGGCAATGGATAGCAAAGTCATCAGTAGGTTTAGCAACACATCTATTCAGACGGTGAAACATTTTTGTCTACTTAGCTTCAAGGTGCATTAAAATCATCCAGAGATCCTTATATTCATATCTATCATCACCCCTAAATGAAAGACAAACCCATGAGCTACCACTGTGTCAAGTTTCTGTATATACGTACGACCAGCTCTCTTCCTCACCAGCTCCCCCTTTACTCTAAACTTCAAGCTTCCACAAAATAGATACCATTTCATTTCCTTTCTGCATCTGAAATACATGAGCTTACTCAAGAAAAGTTTGATCAATGAATAAATGGATGAATATCAGTGACTGAATAATCAAACTGGATGGCTGAATTGAAGGGAAGAAAGGAATGAATAATGTGTTCTAAGCATCAATTTGGTCTGCTGGCTGCTTTTGATTTTTAAATCAGTTTATTTAACTTTTAGTTGTTTCTTGTCTCATATGTTTTATCCATTGGGAAAATAAAAGTTAGTTAAAAGTCTCAATGATTTAGAATTGGTGCGTGAAAGTCAGATGCCTTAGGAAAATGTATAAATCTCCTCTCCAAAGGGCCCAGTGGATGTACATATGAAAGTAGTTTGTCTCTTTATCTTCAAAAATTTTTTACTATGTGTTCACAAGCAGAGGATAGAGAAATGCTTCCAGGCAAGTTAAACAAACAGGGATCTTTATCGCTCAGCTGCCTACCATCTATCTTAAACATTTAGCATGGGACTATAAAAAGATCCCATACCTTGCCTCTTTCATAGATGTACACTGTATCAATAATACCATTGGGTGATTAGTAACAATAACTAATAATTTAGAATTTTAGATTTGTTATCTCACATGTAAAATTACATGTGAGATGCATGTAATTTACATGTACAATATGCTACCTTTTCAGGGAAAATCATGGGCATATCAATAATTTTTTAATGAGATTATGACCCTTCCTTAGGTAATAGAAACTGGGTTAATAGCAAATGGGGTATTGATAATCTCTATTAATAATAGCAACTGGGGTATTGATAATCTTTAGTTTTCTGACATGCGGCACGGGGTAATACTATAGAAAGCAGACATAAATTTCACTTCCTAAGTGTTAAGTGCTTAGCCAACCACTCTAAAAATACTCTATTATAATAATGAGTAAATACAGGAAATAAAATCATATTTTATGTTTAAATGGGAGCCAGGAGATAAGGAACTAGGTTGACTTTGCATCCACTTTGCATTTGAGACTACAGATTCAACATGTGATGGAGGAAGAGTAGCACCTAGTGGTGAAACGCAGCAGCTACACCCACCAGGGAGCTGACTGGAAGTCTTCCAAGTACTTCATCCTCATTTGTTGAAACGTCATTTGTGGCATTTTAAATGCTGCATCTTTGATTCCTGAGATAGGTGTTTTAGTGTGTCTATTAAAGATTTGGAGTCAGCTTTATGTGCTTGAATATTTCCAAAGAAAAATGTATACATGATCAATATATCCAGGAATTTGTGAAAAGATCCTAAACTTTTCAAACATGTCACAGGTAGTACTTGAAGTATGCTTGGTAAAATGTACCGGTTAAAGCAGTATGTTTCTCAGATAGCCTGAGATTTTATTTAACAATTATGTATCTAAGTCTACTAATACATTTGAGCAAAAGAGTGTTGGGTTCATAAATAAGAAGTCAGTATTTCACTTAGATTATTTCAGAAACTTGTAAGTACCTGTAAATAGCTACTCTGAAATTCCCTTTTCTTCAAGTGAGAGATGCCGTAAGTATAACACAGTGTTTTATAAACTTGGACCTGCAGTAAATAAATAAGCACTAAAAACTTTTATAGTGGAAACTAGTTTCAATTATATAGCTAATAGTTTAGTTGATGTTGATAGTGGTAAGAAGGAACAAATTTTTTAAAAACTATGAATAACCTTTAGTGTATATTTCAACTCCTAAATTAAATGTCAATTCAACTAAAATGTTACTCTCTTAGTGGGGGTGTAAATGAGTGTATCGTCTGTCCTTGAGACTTTGATGTAAAAAGACAGAGTTGTGAAATTCAAATTGCACCAATAATCATTTTGTTTTTATTTCCCATGCTCCTTTATCTATTAGCAGACATCCCACATGCACACACACCTAGGCCAGGCCCAGGCCAATCACTGTATCCCACCCCTTGGCTCTTGGGATTATTCCAAGGTTGCTCAACCAAAGTGCAGCTTCCAGCAATGCTATCTTTACCAGAACTGGCAGGGAAGTCCCTTCTTTCCCCTTTGGTGGGCGGCGGTTAGGGGTGATGCTCATTCTCTGCAGCAATAAGTGTGTAATAACAAGGTCCCTAACCTTCTGGTTCCTGTTGCTCTTCCCCAGTGTTCTCCCCATAAGCCTCCTTAAGATAAAATCTACTTTGAGATATGTTTTTGCAGCCTAAAGAGGACTGACTCATGTTGCATTTTTAAAATAAGGCATAGTTCTGATCATGCTATAATATCACCCTGGTCAGAAAATCCTCATTGCTCTCCATTGCTTAAAAAATAATCCCCAAACTCTTTTTGGATGTGTTGTTTGGCTCTAAACTCCTTTTCCAGCCTAATTTCACTCAACCTAGTGAAACTGAATTATTCTTTATTTCTTCAAAACACCCAGTACTTTCCCTTATTCATTCTGCCCTATAAAAATTATTTTCTGCCTCCAGCCATGCCAGTTTCCACCTTCTGAAACTATAGGTACTTTTCAAGATCAACTACAAATAATTCATCTTCCATAAATCCTTCTTCATTATGCCATGAATCAGTTAAGGTTGGGTTCAACTGACTATAAATGAAAACTGAAAATCACAATGGCTTAAAGAAGTGAGAAATTTAATTCTTGCCTATATAAAAGAAGCTTGGGGGCAGGCATTCCTGGACTGTCATGGCAACAACATGAATACGGATGTATTAGTTTTCTATGCTGCATAACAACTTAGTACAAACCTAACAGCTTAAAAAACAGTTTTTTATCTCACAGTTTCCATAGGTCAAGATTCTGCATATGGCTTAGTTAGGTGGTCTCACAAGGCTAAAATCAAGGTGTTTAATGGACTGCATTCTCATCTAGAAACTAGGGAAGAATCTGCTTCCAGGATCTCTCAGGCTGTTGGCAGAATTTATTTCCTTGCAGCTGTAAAATTCGTGTGGTCTTGTTTCTTCAAAGGTAGCAACAGAGAAAAGGAGTCTCTGCTGCTTACAGCCTCTGATTTCAGAGAAGGTGTCAGTGCTCTTTTAAATGGCTCACCTGATTAGCTCAGGCTTACCCAGGATAATTTCTCTTTTGAGGAACTCAAAGTCAACTGCTTAGGAACTTTAATTACAGCTGCAAAATTCCTTCACCTTTGCAAATAATGTAACCTAATCATGGGACTGGTTTCACATCTCCTTTGCCATATTCTATCAACTAGAAGTAAGTCATAGTTTTCATCCCAACTCAACAAAAGGGGATTATACAAGATTGTGATTCAGTAGGGGGTCACCTTCATGTGCGTCCACATGATCAGAGACCCGAGTCCTCTTTTCCTGCTTTACTCTATCACTAGCCTCCATCCTCAAGTTCCCCTCATGGTCCAGGAAGGCTTTTAAAGCCCTAACCATCATATTCACCTAACATGCTGCAGTAAGGAGGAAAGAAATAGGGTGAGAAGGATTATTCTTCCTAACTGGGTCAGTTGCCTGTAAGCAAACTTCACGGAAGTCCCACACATGTTCACTAAATCTCTTTAGCCTCAGGTGCAGACAATAACGAGACATATTACCTGTAGATAAGTTATTAAGAAGTAATACAACTAACTAAAAGTCAGTCTACCTTTCATTGTCACTACCTGCCAGCAATTCTCAATAATTCAATCATAAAATACAGTCAGTTATGTGTCAGTTAATGACAGGGATACGTCCTCACCTTCTTTCAAATGTGCAGGTTCTCACCTCCTTTCAAATAAGCAGAAGAGTGAGATAGACGAAAAAAAAAAAAAAAATCCCAGAAATTCTTTTCTCAGAATTACACAAGTTGGAACTCCATTCTGGATCCTCTTAACAGATCACATACTCTCTCCCAAATCCAATAACGGAATGTTTATTTAATGGATTATCAGCACTCCCTATCCCACAAAGATGTCATATCTTCATCAGATCTTTTTGTCTGGGCACTATGCGGCTCCCTTCTACTTCTGGGTGTGCTAAGGTCCACCCATTTCAAAGTCAATACCACCGAGAAACTTCCAGGAGAGGCCAGAGTGATGGATATCGTGGTATCTGTGTGTAATTTTACATAATTCTATTTTCCCCAAACTCCCCTCCCCAACTGGGAAGGAGTCAGGAGCAGAAACTACCTGTGCTCCCTGGACTGTTGTTGGGCCCCCACCCATCACTTCTTCCCTGCAGAGGGGGAGTAAAGAAAGATCCAGGGACACTGGCGGTGACAAGGATGGGATCAATACATGTGAACATGCTTATATGCAATACTTAATCATTGTATTGTGTGAGAAAACATGGATAGTGTTTCACAATTAAATAGTGTCTATATTTTAAATCCATATTCATAGAAATGGAATGCCAGCTATTAAATAACTTTTTAACAAATGTTATTTCTTAATAATATTAATGAATCTTATTACTAAATTGCATTCAATTAGTCATTTAAGTAACACTTATCAAATATATGAATAATATATCTTGAGTACATATTATTTATTAATAATACATTAATTTGATTTTAAAATTAAGCATCAAACCTCCAATATGTTAAATATAAATCATTAAGTCAAATACAAATAGAGAAAGGGTACGGAGGAGGAGAGTATATTCTGGAGCTCACATTTAAAATAGTGAGGATATGTCATGGATATTAACTCCAAACCTCACAGCCTTTCCCCACAGGGGGAGGACAAGTTGCCTGCAAAGCTTCCCTCCCAACGCTGTGCCGTGATCCACCATAGCTTGCCTACTTTCGCCATTTACCAGCCCTTTCTACAGGCCTGGCAGGAGGAGCCTGCACCTCTGCGTGTTTGCTGCGTGCTGCTTCTTTGCGTTGCTGACCCACCTCCAAGTTCTCTGGGCCAGGAGATACAGTCCAGGTTGACCACAACAGAGAACAGCTAAGCCATGTGAAAGTAGAGGACAAAGACCCTGGTGGCTCTGCCTCGGGGTCTCCCTGTTCCTTCCAGAATCTCTCACAGTGGGTCGCTGTGTCATTCAAAAATGTCACTGGGGTGCTCGCCAGATTCACCCTTTCAGAGGCCCCTAAAGACTAAGTCTGTAAGTGAGTCTGGGGCGGAGATGCTCCTGAGACTACAGTTTCGGAAACTGACCTTTCAAAGAGCCTGAGTCTGAGAAAGTTGTAATACCACAGAGTAAAATCATGCTTTAATGGTGGGTTTAGGTCATTTGATATAAAAAACCAATTTTTAAAAAATGTAACACAGAAATAAGTGGGAAAGGCAAGGAGGAAAGCTTCAGAGGCCATTCAGGGAGACTGGGGTGGGGACGTCCATGGATAAAACAGCCAGTGAACTGCAGCCCTAGAAGGAAATGCAAGAGGCACACACAAAACCAGAGGCTGCAACAGCAACATGGAAGTTAAAATGGTTTACTCCACAAGAACAAGAAACCCTGGCCGGGCGCGGTGGCTCACGCCTGTAATCCCAGCACTTTGGGAGGCCGAGGCGAGTGGATCACAAGGTCAGGAGATCCAGACCATCCTGGCTAACACGGTGAAACCCCGTCTCTACTAAAAAATACAAAAAATTAGCCGGGCGTGGTGGCAGATGCCTGCAGTCCCAGCTACCTGGGAGGCTGAGGCAGGAGAATGGCGTGAACCCGGGAGGCGGAGCTTGCAGTGAGCCGAGATCACGCCACTGCACTCCAGCCTGGGGGACAGAGCGAGACTCCGTCTCAAAAAAAAAAAAAAAAAAGAAACCCTGAGGAAGTAAAATCAGCTTGGGAAAATTATGACAATGGCTCCATGAAACCAAATGAAAGAGGAGCTCAAAGAATAAATTATAGCCCAAAATGTTTAAGCACACAGAATTTTTTAATGTACTCTTCAACACCCCTTCTCTCTCTCTCTCTCTCTCTCTCTCTCACACACACACACACACACACACACACACACACATTTTTCTACATCAACAGTAACCATCAAGGGCATCAGAGAGCTCTCCAAGTGGATGTTCTTTCTCCTTTAGGGGACAAATTGTAAAATTGACGTCTGACTACCCCAGGCTAAGATGCTGAGTCTGCACTCAGTCCAGCTATGAACCTCCCTGATTTTCTCCCTAGTTCCATCTTTTTTCTGCTTCCCCAGCTGGTAACCCCTCCTCTTTGTGTCCCATTTGCTATTCCCTTTCTTCTGTGACTGCAGACTTTCCCTCTCTACTGGCTTCTTCTGGGGCTATAAATGTATTCAAGGTCTCCCTTATTTAAAAATACCCTCAGGCCAGATGCAGGCTTACACCTATAATCTCAGCACTTTGGAGGCCAAGGTGGGAGAATAACTTGAGGCCAAGAGTTGAAGACCAGCATGGGCAACATAGCAAGACCCTGTCTCTATTTCCTTTATTTTTTTTAAGGAGACAGAGAGACCAAGAAATACCTTCAAGTGCCTCCACATCTCCGTCTATTGCATTTCACAATGAACTCCCTGAATAATCACATGCAAACTGTCCCCTCTACCGTGTCACTCTGCTCCCTCTTCATCACTGCAGGCTAGCTCCTGCCCCCTTAACTGTGCTGAAATGCTTTGACAAAGGCCTCCTCATTGACAAATCTAATGTCTTCTTTTTAGTCCTCAGCTTCCCTCAAACTCTTTGTGACATGCTACTCTGTTGATCATTCTGTGTTTTTGAAACTTTTTCTTCCTTTGGCTTCTGAGAAAACCCTCATAATTCTGCTGTCTCACTTATGTTCCTTCTCAAATTCTTCTGCTGGTTAAATGTTGGTATTCCCCAGGGCTCTGTATTCATGTGAGTCTATCCCTGGGGCTCAAACTGTGGTCTCCAAACCAGCAACATCCTTATTACCAGGGAACTTGTTAGAAATGCAATTTAAGAAATACAGGACAGCCAGTTAAATGTGAATATCAGAAAAGCAGTGGATACATTTTACAATTTTAAAAATTAGGCCAGGTGCAGTGGTTCATGCCTGTAATCCCAGCACTTTGGGAGGACAAGGTGGGTGGATCACTTGAACCCAGGAGTTTGAGACCAGTTGGGCAACATGGTGAAACCCTGTCTCTACTTAAAAAAAAAATTACAAAAATTAGCTGGGTATGGTGGCACACGCCTGTAGTCCCAGCTACTTGTAAGGCTGAGGTGGGAGGATCACCTGAGCCCAGGAGACAGAGGTTGCAGTGAGCCAAGATCACGCCACTGCCCTACAGCCTGGGTGGCAAAGTGAGACCCTGTCTCAAAAAAAAAAAATAATTATGATAAGTATGTCCCATGCAATATTTGGGACATATTTATTCTTTTTTAAAAAAAAGTGTTATTAATCTGAAATTCAAATAATTGGGCATCTTTTATTTTTATTTGCTAAATCTGGCAACCCTAACTACAAATTACTAGTCCCTTTCCCAGACCTACTGAGTCAAAATTCTAAGCATCTGGCCTATAATTTGTGTTGTAATAAGTCCTCCAGGTGATTCTAATTTCTCAAGTTCAAGGAGATGCTCTACATCCCACCCTTGACTGCCTTCATCTGCTCCCATGACAACACTTAACCAAAGTGGGGATGTTCCTGAACCGCTGATTTGCATGCTCCTGAATTTTATTTAACCATGTGTCCCACTTTTATGAGGAAAACCAGGAAGAATGCAAGAACAAGGTCATCAAGTTCTGGGCTTTAGAACAATGTTTACCTGTCTTTGTATAAGAGATTTAGAAAAAGATTCAGTGATGGAGAATCCATTTTTTTCTGCTCCTGCCTACCCACTCATGTAATGCTTCTAACCTATCAGAGAATTAGGGAAAAATAATTAGTCACTGGAATTAGGCTTCCTGCACCCATTCCCATCCCCTCAATCTCTCTAAGAGAAGATGATAGAGGTGCCCCATATAATTCTTAGGGTCTTACAGTAGAGGAACCAGTGCCCCTCAATCTATCTGGAGTTCCTCTGAGCCATTAGGAGAGTAGAGATGGAATGGTGGGAAGCAAAAGCAGATGGAATTGGGCAGCTTCACAGAGAGTTCTCATCAGCCCCCAAAGGACAGGAGCATAGATAGGACTTAGAGAACTGGCGGGCTCAAAAGGGTCCCACAGTCATGACAAGGGAGGCAGCCACACTGTGGCCTGTGCAACAGAGACCAGATGGATGATGGACACCTCCATGGGAGCCAGTC
Source organism: Homo sapiens (assembly GCF_000001405.40). Taxonomy (NCBI): domain Eukaryota; kingdom Metazoa; phylum Chordata; class Mammalia; order Primates; family Hominidae; genus Homo; species Homo sapiens. The sequence goes on from NC_000013.11 coordinate 76,910,825, forward strand.
TGAAGGGCAGGCAGTACCCAAGATCAGACAAGTCTACACATCAGCCAATGGCAGCACAAGATGCCCTCAGACAAGAGCCCATTCCCACCACATTGCGACTCTCAGGAGATTCAGAACAGAAAGGAAATTTATATGACAAATGATTAACATGATTTAGCTGACTTGGAAGGGATTACATTAAGCTTCCTGCCCATGAAGCAGAATGAGAGGTTCAGTCAGTTACAGGATGTATCCTTAAGGGTAAACAAAGTCAGCTGCTGCAACACACCCTGAAATCTTAGTGGCTGAAACCAAGTTAATTTCTCACTCACACAAAGTTCAGTCAAGAATCAGCCACCCTCCTCCTTTGCCTCTGGAACACGTGGCCTCCTCAGGCACAGAGGCAGGGGAAGAAAGGGAAGGAGGCTGCACACCAATTCTTCACCCTGTTAACCTGGAAGGGACGCTTCTGCTCCTAGGCCATCAGCCAGACCTAGTCACATGGCCCCAGTCTCACTAGAAAGAAGGCAGGAGATACAGAACAACACTTGGATATTTGGTGTCTTAGTCAGCTTTGGCTGCTGTAACAAAATAGCATGAACTGGGTGGATCAAACAACAGAAACTTATTACCTCCCAAAGGCTCTACCTCCAAATACCATCACATTGGGGTTTACAGTTTCAATACATAAATTTTAAAGGGACACACACACATTCATTCCCTAACATTTGGCAAACATTGACTATCTCTGCCATAAAGCAAATCAATTAAAGTTACTTTCATCACACATTCACATTCAAGGTGATCTCTATGCTGATAGTTCCCAAATCTCTATCTCCATCCCCAATCCGGACTCCTGATCCATATACCCACCTGCCTCCAGGATATCTTCACTTTCACATCCTATAGGTATTTAAACTTTATTTTTTAAAATGTCAACTTTTATTTTAGACTTGGAGGTACACGTACAGATTTGTTACACAGGTATATTCCAGGATGCTGAAGTTTGAGGTACAATTGATCCCATCACCCAGGCAGTTTAATATGTCTAAAGCTAAACCTATCCTCTTCCCCCAACACTGTTCCTCCTCTTGTATTTCTTATCTCTAGACACCCACAACAGAAACCTGGAGTAACCCTGGACTATGCTCTCCTCTACCCTTTTACATTCTATCGGTCACCAAGTTTAGTAGATTCTGCTTCCTAACTGCCCTTATACCTGTTTCTTCTTTCCATCTGCTTCGAGGCTTCTCAGTCTTGGCACTATTGACATTCCAGGCCAGATAACTCTTTGCTGTGAGTGCCACCCTGTGCATCGTAGGCTGTTTAGCAGCATTACTGACCTAGTAGATGCTAAGGTTGCCCTCGCGAAACAAAAAGTTTTCCAACATTGTCAAATATCCCCTGGGAGACAAAGCTGCAGGCCTCCAATTAAAAAATTACTGATCTGTTACTGTTTAATTTTCCATTCTCGTTGTTTCAGGCCTGAGTTGTTTTAATAGTTGTTGGGTTGTATTTTTCTTTTCTTTCTTTTTTTTTTTTTTTTTAGATGGGATCTCACTCTGTCACCCAGGCTGGAGTGCAGTGGCACGATCTTGGCTCACTGCAACCTCTGCTTCCCAGGTTCAAGTGATTCTCCTGCCTCAGCCTCCAAAGTAGCTGGGATTACAGGCACGTGCCACCATGTCCAGCTAATTTTTGTATTTTTAGTAGAGAAGGCGTTTTACCACATTGTCCAGGCTGGTCTCAAATTCCTGACCTCAAGTGATCCACCCACCCCAGCCTCCCAAAGTGCTAGGATTGTAGGCATGAGCCACTGTGCCCGGCCCATTGGGTTGTATTATAATTGGCATCCCTGCCAAAACATTGCACAGCCCACCCACTCACCTCCCACTCTACTCCCTGAACCCATTGTCTGCACTGCTACCTGAATGATCTTTGTGGTTAATCTGACCATTTCACTCTCCCATTAAAAGCCCCCTTTGCTTATAGGATAAAGTGTAAACTGCTTATGAAGCCATACAGAGTTCTCCATGAACCTGACTTAACCAATTTCACTGCACATCCTGCCACCACTATCCTCTACTTGTAATGCAGGAACATATTTTGGCCATTTATGGCTTGGTTCAAGCTCATAACCTCCTGTGTGAAGTCATTCCTAAACCTCTGTGAAGAGCTGATTACTCTCTTCTCTGTGGCTCTACCATGGCCTTGGTAGACTTCTGGAAGACTTGGGTTTTTGTATGGCTACCTGTACTAAATTGCAAGGTTTTTAGGGATGAAACCAGGTCTGCTTGATTCCTGTGTTTCTCGTCATTAAGACAACCCTGACACATAGTAACCACCCAATTCATTTTTTAACAAATGACAGAAGTGCAACAGTCATTCCCTCAGGAACTTTTGATTCTGCAAAAAGGCTTGGACAGTAAATTGGGCTGCAGCAATTGCCTATTCTTCACTGAAGAAAAGTCTTAAGGACTTAACTCTGAAATTTTGGAAGACAAAGTAGCCTTAATTAAAATAGCACCTTTCAGGCCAGGCATGGTGGCTCACACCTGTAATCCGAGCACTTTGGGAAGCCAAGGTGTGAGGATCACTTGAGATCAGGAGTTTGAGACCAGCCTGGCCAACCTGGTGAAACTCCATCTCTACTAAAAAGATACAAAAACTAGCCAGGCGTGGTGGCAGGCCCCTGTAATCCCAGCTACTTGGAAGGCTGAGGCAGGAGAATCATTTGAACCCAGGAGGTGGAGGTTGCAGTGAACCAAGACTGCAACACTGCACTCTAGCCTGGGTGACACAACAAGACTCTGCCTGAAAAAAAATAAATAAATAAAATAAAATAGCACCTTTCAAATGCTTATAAATCACAAGATCAAATCAGTTGAAAGCAATACTTTCTTTTTACTCATTACAGTTTATTGAGCACACACTAAGTGCTCAGAACTGTGTCAGGTGCTATACAGATTATAACCCTTTAAACTGTGAGAATTACCAATAAAACATGAAAGAGTGAAAGAGCTGGATTGCAATTAACTTTACCAATAATTATTATGGTGTAATTCTAGGTGCGTCATTGTTATATGGAAATAAAAATCTCAACAGTGAGTGAAGGCTGCTAAAAGTAGCAGCAGCAATTAAGCCTCATATGACTATATAACTTTAGAATGAAAATGTCAGGGAGGAGAAATGGAAAAATCATGCAATCAAGAGAGACACGTTTTATAAAATAATAAAGGACAGGACCTCTTTTTAAATGCTTGATGGCAAACACGTGTCACAAGTTAGAAAAATGTTCACTGTATTTGTTGAATGTTTTCCATATGTCACACATATGGATTTTCTAATTCTATGAGAGGGTTTTCACTTAAAAATTCCAGTGTGTTGACAAGTTAATAAGTGATCTACTGACTTCTTCCCACGCAAGGGGCTGGAAAACCAATTTCGGCATAGTAGGTGGCATTGCTTTCCCTGGGTTCTCAGCCAGGGTCCATCTGGCTACAACAGAGGTGAGGCAGCCTCCCCAGTCCTGCTGCATGCCACCTCTCAGCCCACCTGCCAGCTACCACCCCGCTCAGGTCCCCTGTTTCCAGCCCTGCCAAACCGCCCACCTCACCCTGAAAATTCCCTCTGCCAACAAAGTCCTTTTCCCCTGTGCTGTACCTAGCCCATGTCTACTCATCCTTTTCTCTGAAGGTCTTAATGAAATGTCATCTCTCCTGTGAAGCCTACTTGGGTCTCCCAAGCAGAATCTGTAATCCCTGGTTCACTGGCTCCTTGGTACTTAATCAATTCCCCGTGTCATGCCACACTAACCGTTTCTATTCATTTAGCTATTTCAATAAATACATTTATTTCAAAAGCTTATTTATTGAGCATCTGCTGGATCAGACATGGTGCCCAACCCTAGAAATAGAAAGATGAATGGTGCATGGGGTCTGCTAGAGACCTAGGCATCCAAATACAAGAAGCACAAAGAACACCCAGGAAATTTATCGCAAAAAGATCTTCCCCTAGGCACATTGTCATCAGGTTATCCAAAGTTACGACAAAAGAAAGAATCTTAAAAGCTGTGAGACAGAAGCACCAGGTAACCTACAAAGGAAAACCTATCAGATTAACAGCAGATTTCTCAGCAGAACCTCTACAAGCTAGAAGGGATTTGGGCCCTATCTTCAGAAATTCAAAGAATATGGCTCCTAGTTTTCCAGTATGGATGGGGTCCCATATAGATTGACTGTGCAGGATAAGACAAAAGTCAAATATGGCTCCTAGTTTTTCAGCATGGATAGGGTCCCATGTAAGATATGGACTACATAGGAGAAGTGAATTTAGGAAGAAAGTTGATGCATTCAGTATACTTCACATAGAGCACTGGATGCGTATGGACATTTGGGTAAAGATATCTAAGAGGCAACTGAACGTCTGAGCCTGAAAGTTGGGGATGCAGAATGAGCTAAGGAGACAGATCTGCAAGTTGTCTGCCCCTGACTGGTAATCAGGGACCATGAGACCTTCAGAGAACCCCTGGAGAGGGCTCAACGTGGGAAGAAAGCCTAGGCAGAGCTCTGGAGAACACCAGGTAAAACGGCCTGGCAGAGGAAAAGGAGTCATGGAGGACACTGAGAAGCACAGTTAGAGAGGATGAAGGAGAACCAGGAGGACACGATGTGATTCGGTACAAAGGAAAGATATTACAGGAAAGAGGAAGGATAGTGCTAAGATTAAGGGCATAGCTTCTGAAGTCAGACCACCTCCATGCTGGTCTAGCACTTAATAATTGGGTGAAATAGAGCAAAGTATTCTTTTACGCTTTATACCTCAGTTTTCTCATCTGTAAATGGGTATCTTATAGGACTATTGTTAATATTAAAAACATTTAGACTAGCACCTGCCATGTATTATGTTCTTAATAAATATCATTTTTTATTAATATTATAGATTTCTCTCTTCCATTTTTGTCAACTTCCCCAAGGGCAGAGACTACTTTTTTTGAGACAAGTTCTCACTCTGTCACCCAGGGTGGAATGCAGTGGTGCAATTATGGCTTACTGCAGCCTCAACCTTCTGGGCTCAAGTGATCTTCCCATCTTGGCCTTTCTAGTAGCTGGGACTACAAGTGTATACCACCATGCCCAACTAAATTTTTTAAATTATTTTTTGTAGAGACAGGGTCTCACTATGTTGCCCAGGCTGCTCTCAAACTAGGGCTCAAGCAATTCTCCCACCTCAACATCCTAAGTTGTTGGGATTATAGGCATGAGCCACCACACCCAGCCACAGAGACCACTTTTTAAAAATCTTCTTTGTATCTCATTCACCTACCACAGCATATAACTCATAATAGGCACAAAGGAAATAGTTGTTGAATAAAATCACTCTACTAGGACCCTCTACGTGGCCAGAGCATCTTTTGTCATAATAGTTAGTCAGAGATTTGACCCACGGAGTCAACGTTCTGAGAAAAAAGTTTGTTTTTCTCCAAAGTCAGAAAAGTCTATTTTGGTTGTTTCCAAAGACATTTAATGTGCTTAAAAAATCCTAGAGTTGAAGAGACTTTAAAAGTTATCCAGTCCAATGTCCTTATTAATGCAAGAAACTTTATATGACATCCATAAAACTCAACTTCCAATGACAGCCAACCCACTCCCAGCCCATTTCTCTGTTAGAAGGTTTTATTTTATTCTTAGATCTTGAACACAAGGCGGCCTCCCTGCAATTTTTACCAACTGATCCTAATTCAATCTTATAGAGCTACCCAGCCTACTTCTATACCCCTGAGAAGATAACAATCCTTCAAGAAACTGAAGACAACTACAGGCATCCCTTATTTTATTGGAAGAAGGTACCACCTAGGACTTTCACAGCTAGAGAAGAGAAGTAAATGCCTGGCTCCAAAGCTTCAAAGAACAGGCAGAGCCTCCTGTTAGGGGCTAATGCAGCTTGACTTGAAGTTGAAGTCAACGCACATTGACCATTCTGAAAATCTAGAGCCTTTAAGAATGGCGCTAAATCTACTCTACCTGTGCTCTATAAATGGAACAGAGCCTGGATGACAGCACCTGTGTACAGCATGGTTTACTGAATGTTTTAAGACCACTGTTGAGACCCAGTGTTCAGAAAAAGATTACTTTCAAAATATTACTGCTCAGAGACAATGCACCTGATCACTTAAGAGTGCCGATGCAGACATATAAGGAAATTAATGTTCTTTTCATGCCTGTTAATATAACATCTGTTCTGCAGCCCAAGGATCAAGGACAAATTTTTAACTTTCGAGTCTTATTATTTAAGAAATACATTTCATATGGTTATTGCTGCCATAGATATTGATTTCTCTGACGGATCTGGGCAAAGTAAATTGAAACCCTTCTGGAAAGGATTCACTATTCTAGATGCCATTAAGAACATTCATGACTCATGGGAGGAGATCAAAATATCAACATGAATAGGAGTCTGGAAGAAGTTGATTCCAATGCTCATGGATGACTTGGAGAGGTTCCAGACTTCAGTGTAAGAAGTAACTGCAGATGTGACAGAAATAGCAAGAGACAGCAATTCCAAGAGCAATTCCACAGACCCTCTAAAGAAAGGAGACTGCTCCTGTAGGACCCAGGTGAACCCTCAAAACTGTGAGTGCCCCAACTGTGGAAGTTGGGAAAGGGAGACCCTCCTCTCCTAAACACACACCCCCACTGGAAAAGCTGAAGGTCTGTTTGTGGGAGAAGTTTCTGACTTTATCTGGAGCTGAGTCAATGTGGAGAGCCAAGTGAAATACAGGGGTAGAGGAAGCAGCAGAAAGGCCCTGGGAGCTTGCTGGGTGCCTTAGCAGGCTACTCCTGCCTGGCACCTCAGGGATCCAGCGGGAGAGGAGCAGGGGGTAAAACTACACAGGAAGAAGCAAATCTCTAGCTGAACTTAGTAACAATTTGAACAGGGTGAGAAGCCTCCTGGCCAGAACCAGGGGGAGGGTGCAAATCCAGTATGCAGACTCTACAGGCCTGGGAAAAATCCAGACCTTTTATTTCGCAACTAGGAGGCGAGTAGCCTGGGGCAGGTTTTCAAGCTGGTATTGCTCTCTGCCTGGAAACAGTCTGGGGGCTGATAAGGGACACGCAGGGAGTGAGACCAGCCCTTCGGTTTGCATGGGAGCTGGGTGAGGCCTGTGACTGCCGGCTTTCCCCCACTTCCCTGACAACCTGCATGACTCAGCAGAGGCAGCCATAATCCTCCCACGTACACAACTCCAGTGACCTGGGACTCTCACTCCCATCCGCCACAGCAGCCGCAGCAAGACCCACCCAAGGAGAGTCTGAGCTCAGACATGCCTAGCCCTGCCCCCACCTGATGGTCCTTCCCTACCCACTCTGGTAGCCGAAGACAAAAGGCATATAATCTTGGAAGTTCTAGGGCCCCGTCCACTGCCGGTTCTTCCCCGTAATACCACAGCTGATGCTGTCTGGAAAGCACCACCTCCTAGCAGGAGGCCAACCAGCACAAAAATAGAGCATTAAACCACCAAAGCTAAGAACACTCACAGAGTCCATTGTACTCCCTACCACCTCCACAGGAACAGGTGTTGGTATCCATGGCTGAGAGATCCATAGACAGTTCACATCATGGGAGTCTGTGCAGACAACCCCCAGTACCAGCCCAGAGCCAGGTAGACTTGCTGGGTGGCTAGACCCAGAAGAGAGACAACAATCACTGCAGTTCAGCTCACTGGAAGCCACATCCATAGGAAAAGGCGGAGAGTACTACATCAAGGGAACATCCTATGGGACAAAAGAATATGAACAACAGCCTTCAGTGCTAGACCTTCCTTCTGACAGAGCCTACCCAAATGAGAAGGAACCAGAAAACCAACCCTGGTAATATGACAAAACAAGGCTCTTCAACACCCCCCCAAAAATCACACTAGTTCACCAGCAATGGATCCAAACCAAGAAAAAAATCCCTGATTTACCTGAAAAAGAATTCAGGAGGATAGTTATTAAGCTAATTAGGGAGGGACCAGAGAAGGTGAAGCCCAATGCAAGGCAATACAAAATATGGTACCAGAAGTGAAGGAAGAAATGTTCAAGGAAATAGACTGCTTAAAGAAAATACAGTAAAAAATTCAGGAAAGTTTGGACACACTTTTAGAAATGCAAAGTGCTCTGGAAAGTCTCAGTAATAGAATTGAACAAGTAAAAGAAATTCAGAGCTTGAAGACAAGGTCTTCAAATTAACCCATTCCAACAAAGACAAAGAAAAAAGAATAAGAAAATATGAACAAAGCCTCCAAGAAGTCTGGGATTATGTTAAACGACCAAACCTAAGAATAATTGGTGTATCTGAGGAAGAAGAGAATCCTAAAAGCTTGGAAAACATATTTGGGGGAATAATCAAGGAAAACCTCCCCAGCCTTGCTAGAGGCCTAGACATCCAAAAACAAGAAGCACAAAGAACACCAAGGAAATTCATCACAAAAAGATCTTCCCCTAGGCACATTGTCATCAGGTTATCCAAAGTTAAGACAAAAGAAAGAATCTTAAGAGCTATGAGACAGAAGCACCAGGTAACCTATAAAGGAAAACCTATCAGATTAACAGCAGATTTCTCAGCAGAAACCCTACAGGCTAGAAGGGATTTGGGCCCTATCTTCAGCCTCCTCAAACAAAACAATTATCAGCCAAGAATTTTGTAAATCCAGCAAAACTAAGCATCATAGATGAAGGAAAGAGACAGTCTTTCAGACAAACAAATGCTGAGAGAATTCACCATTACCAAGCCACCTCTATAAGAACTGCTAAAAGGAGCTCTAAATCTTGAAACAAATCCTGAAAACACATCAAAACAGAACCTCATTAAAGCATAAATCGGACAGGACCTATAAAATAAAAATATAAGTTAAAAAGCAAAAACAAAAAACAAAAAAACCAAAGTACACAGGCAACAAAGAGCATGATGAATGCAACAGTACCTCAGGTTTCAATACTAACATTGAATGTAAATGGCCTAAATGCTCCACTTAAAAGATGCAGAACCGCAAAATGGATAAGAACTCAGCACAGCAAAAGGAACAGTCAGCAGAGTAAACAGACAACCCACAGAGTGGGAGAAAATCTTTACAATCTATACATCTGACAAAGGACTAATATCCAGAATCTACAATAAACTCAAACAAATCAGTAAGAAAAAAAACAAACAATCCCATCAAAAAGTAGGCTAAGGACATGAAAAGAAGATACACAAATGGCCAAGAAACGTGAAAAAAATGTTCAACATCACTAATGATCAGGGAAATGCAAGTCAAAACCACAATGAGGTACTACCTCACTCCTATAAGAATGGCCATAATCAAAAAATCAAAAAACAGTAGATGCTGGCATGGATGCGGTAAACAGGGAACACTTCTACACTGCTGGTGGGAATGTAAACTAGTACAGCCATTATGGAAAACAGTATGGAGATTCCTTAAAGAACTAAAAGTAGAACTACCATTTGATCCAGCAATCCCACTGTTGGCTATCTACCCAGAGGAAAGGAAGTCATTACTCAAAAAAGATACTTGCACACACATTTACAACAGTGCAATTCACAATTGCAAAATTGTGGAACGAACCCAAATGCCCATCAATCAAGTGGATAAAGAAACTGTGGTATATACCTATATGGTGGAATACTATGCAGCCATAAAAAGGAATGAATTAATAGCATTTGCAGTGACCTGGATGAGATTGGAGAGTATTATTCTAAGTGAAGTAACTCAGGAATGGCAAACCACACATCATATGTTCTCATTGATATGTGGGAGCTAAGATATGGGGACGCAAAGGCATAAGAATGATGCAATGACTTTGGGGACTTGGGGGAAAGAGTGGGAGGAGGGTCAGGGCTAGAAGACTACAAATATGGTACAGTGTATACTGCTCGGGTGATGGGTGCATCAAATTCTCACAAATCACCACTAAAGAAATTACTCATGTAACCAAATACCACCTGTACCCCAATTACTTATGGAAAATTTTTTTTTAAAAAAGAAATAGCCAGAGAACTAGAATTATAAGTGGAGCCTGAAGATGTGACTGAATTGCTGCAGTCCCATGATAAAACTTTAGCAGATAAGGAGTTGCTTCTTAGAGATGAATAACGAAAGTAGTTTCTTAAGATACAACCTACTCCTGGTGAAGATGCCATGAGCATTGTTGAAATGACAAGGGATTTAGGGATTTAGAATATTCCATAATTTTAGTTGATAAAGCAATGGTAGGCTTCGAGAGGATTAACTCCAATTTTGAAAGACGTTCAACCATGAGTAAAATGCTGTCTAACAGCATCACATGCTACAGGCAAATCTTTTGTGAAAGAAAGTCAGTTGATATAACAAGCTTCATTTTTGTCTTAAGAAATTGCCACAGTCACCTCAACCTTCAACAGCCACCACCCTGATCAGTCAGCAGCCATCGACACTGTGGCAAGTCCCTCCACCAGAAAAAATATTACACTTACTGAAGGTCCAGGTGAATGTTAGCATTTTTTAGGAATAAGGTATTTCTGAATTAAGGTATGTACACTTTTTTAGACATAATGCTATTGCACACTTAATAGACTACAGTATACTGTAAACATAACTTTTTTATTTTTTTGAGACAGGGTCTCACTCTGTCACCCAGGCTGGAGTCCAGTGGTGCAATCTCGGCTCACTGCAATCTCCACCTCCTGGACTCAAGTGATTCTCCCACTTCAGCCTCCTGAGAGCTGGGATTACAGGTGCACACCACCACCACATCCGACAAATTTTTCTATTTTTTATAAAGACAAGGTTTTGCTATATTGCTGAGGCTGTTCTCAAACTCCTGACCTCAGGCTATCTGCCAGCCTCAGCCTCCTAAAGTGCTGGGATTACAGGAATGAGCCACTACATTTGGCCAAACATAGCTTTTATATGCACTGGAAAGCCAAAAAATTTGTGTGACTCACTTCATTGTGATATTTGCTTTATGCCAGTGATATGGAACTGACCCAGCAATATCTCTGAGGTAGGCTTATACATTCTAGGTTTTTAAAAAATTAACAGGACAAAAATCAACACTGTATCAGCTGGTGCTGTCATTTTAAAAATACCATAGACTGGGTGACTTATATAACCGAAATTTATTGCTCACAGTTCTGGAGGCTGGGAAGTCCAAGATCAAGGTGCTATTAGAATGAGCCAATTCTGATGCAAGTGGATGGAGCAAATACAGTCTTAAGGCTCAATATTATGAGTATATACTTCAGAGTATCAACCCTCTGAGCTCTGTACCGGTCTGCACTAGGTGGGGACATTCACAGCCTAGCTTGCCCAGAAACAGATAATCAGGACTACTGGAGGTTTGGAAAGTGTGGCATTCATGTAAAGAAAGTTACAGCAACAAGTTAAGAAGCCCTGCCACACTTCTGGTTTGTGAACAACCAGCATTCAAGAGTGCACACCTATGCCTTACAGGACATCTCTGAACGCAAGTTGTTAAACTATTCAAATATATGTCTTGGTTTTAGTGTAGCTCTTCAGCCTGTCAAGACCACTTAAGATAGTATAATTTGATCTGAGATTGACCATCTCAGCTATCTGTTTTAGCTTAGTATCATCTATACATCTGAGTGAAATGTCTCCTACAGCTTCATCCAAAGCTCTGGAACAACATAGCAGCATCACTGGTTATCTAGCCCAGGAAAAATCACCTCACCTCTTTGATCCTCCATGTATTTCCCTATAAAATTTGGTTAGGTAGTCTTTAAAGCTAAGTACAAAACAGCAGTTTGCATAAAACTTTAAGAAGCCTCCCTATGAAGTACACAATATACTATCACCAGGATTTTTACTGAAATTCACTAACATGAAATTATATGCCCAATTTTGTCTGAATGGGCATTTTCTAAAGAAAAGATCTATAGTTTTCATGAGATTCTTAAAAGGGTCCAAGGGACCACTATTCCATGAAGATGGTTGTTCAAGTAGCTAGCTGCCCACCTCACTGCACTATTTTAACACATTCCTCTACCTCTATCATGAAAATGAAAATATTGAAGCAGTCTACTATTTTCATAAAGTAACTGTGAATTCTCCTCAAACTTCCTAAAACCCATGAGCTTCCTCCCAACTCAGGAAGCAGCTATGGTTTTCTATGTCTGCTGCCCTTCAGAAGGGTTGCCATAGCAGAATAGAAAAAAACTAAAGACTCAAGATCCCAGAATTTTAGTATTAAAGCCTTTGAAAATGTAGGCTGCCGGACTCAAGGCCTGAAGTATATGCCTTAACCACTGGATATAGATGTCTACCAAATCAAAGACAAGTGCAGTTCCATCCCAAAAATAGACAAGGATTCTGCCAGTAAGGGGGAGTCAGAGGAAGAGAAGAGCTGAGATATTAAGGTATCTCTGAAATGGAGTCCCACTCCTGTCCCCATCACTGGTGGGAGAGGGTGAATAATAGAAACTCCAAATGGGTTTGGGGACATCTGTTAACACTGAAAACATTCCAGCAAGATCCACAGAGATATCCCACATCCAGAGTGGAAACAGTAGAAGAATCATCAATGTGTGGGCACCTGGGCAGACAAGCCTAAAACATCATCAGGGCCTCCAAAATCCAGTGAGGCAAAGGAAGAGTTCATGGTATTCCCCATGAGCCCAGGAGGGATGGGTAAATAACAGAAAAAGAGCAAAACCCATGAGGCCTCTGACTTGGTATGAGGCTGACACAGCACAAACACCAGAGACCAGGGGCCAGAAGGAGCAAAGGTGTGTCTATCAAAGCCAGGTTAGATAGATGTTGCCAACCTAAGGCCTGACACTTGATGTCCCCTACCCGATGACTTGAGATGACATAAGTGTCCTCCCCCTCCCCACAATGTACAGGAAGGTGAAGGACAGGGAGATCCTGGGACCAACTAAGATTTAGTATTTGCCATTCAGCAGAATGGAGATTCAGTGAGAAAATGTGTTCAGTTACAGAAATTCTACAAAAGATACACTTCTTAAATACTCAAGTTTATGGGTAGAGACGTATATCTGCAACAGAAATCATGACAAACGATGACAAATGTTCTACTAAAATCACATAGCACCGTGCTCGTGTCTATGGCATTACCCAGGTCCATACAGTCAAAGCAGCTTTTCAAGAAGGAAGTGTGACAACTCTGACGGTGGTGACCCTTTTCTCCTGCTAACCAGTGCTGATTTAGACCAAGTGTTCACTCTTCCACCTGATGAGCCAGGTATGGCCTGCCAGGTTCTTGTTTGACTGAAGCAGTCCATTGTCAACAAAAGCCCTTAAAATTTTCAGACCCATCTTATCCCTTCCATGTTTTATGGTGCTAAAGTCTGCTGTCTTAACTAGTCTTTTGAAGCACTTGAGGAAATTCAATGCTTCTTTTTGAGGCAAATATTGATCCTACCCACGGGATATGGGTATATCCTATTCAACTGATGTATGACAAAAGATAGACATCAGGCTCTTGAACATTTTGACAATTCTGCATTATTCTGGAAGGATTGGGTGGATGGATTCTTCTGCAGTGAAACAGCATAGAACATAGATACTAAGATCCAAGTTGGAAAAAAATCCAATGACAAATCGGTTTAATTCCAGCCTTTGCCAAAGGCTCCTGTGAGACTTCCAATATTTAAGGGAGTCCTCAGGGTCATGATACTAGAGTATCCATTGCCCCTCTTCCAGATATTGCCCCCAGCCATGGGTTACATAGCAGAAAGCAAGAATCTGGCTTATATCATCTAAGCTCCCAGCAGAAATGACTTCCCTTAATCAGGATTTTTATTCTCTGTAACTTTTATATATGATTTATACGAAAAATATCCCTTTAAACAATGTTCCTGTGACTTTTGCAAGACCCGAGTTAGTTACTGCCTGTTAAATTGTCCCTTCTGTAAAGAGCCAGTTGATAAATTACTTCGTGATTCAGAGCAAGAAAAGCTTGAGTTCCTGAAAGTGTTTGTCTCTGTCCTGCTGTCAAACAATAAAAATTACATAACTCAAAGATTTCCTTGTTTGCCTTATCTTTAGGAAACTCAGAAATAATTATTGTGCTCTCCTGCAGTAATTGATTTATCTCAAGGACATTGTGACATTGATTTCTCTGCTATATTAATTTGTCTCTGGTTTAAATTGTGTATTGTGTTCGATTTTGTAAACAGCCTCAAGCTTTTCTGAAAATAAGTGGAATATCATTGAAAGAAATGCATTTTAACTTCCCCGAGATTTGGTTTTCTTCAAAATATCTACCTCAGTTTTATGGTTATATGAATTCACCTATTTGACTAATTTCTGTCACCTCTATTAGAATGTAAGTTCTATGAGGGACAAGAGTACATCAAATTTGCTCACTGTTCTACCTTCAGTGCCTAGCACCATGCTTGAGGGTTAGGGTGCTACAGTAACTAACAACCTGAAAACTTCCCCATGGCTTAAAGAACAAAGGCTTCTTTTTTTCTTGCTCACTCTACATATCCACTATAGAGGTTGGCTGTGACTTTACCTCTCATAACCACTGGAATGTTGTCCTGTCCTGGCAAAGAGAAAAGAGATATGACAAACCACAAATCATCTATTAGCACTGCATTGGCCAAACCCCAGTCACACGGCCAGGAAGGGAATGGGTAGCCCTCCCAGGGACAGGTACTGCAGGGAGGGTTTGGAATATCTGGAGACAATAATGCATCTATAACGTATAACATAACCTGAGCAATTAAGTCAACTGGACTTACAGATTACATTTTCCTAAATTAATGCGGTGCTCTTTAATTATTTCTTCCCATATTTCACCTTTGGTCTTTGAAACTTGTTTTAGAAAAAAAGTTCACTTCAAAGTATCCTGTTGTACTATCAACTTCGTTATACCTAGGTCAAATACACATGATCATGCATAATATCTCTCCCCTTCCCCCTGAATAGCTTAGGAAGTCTAGAGAGCAGGGTATTAACTTTTCCCACTCCAGTATACTCACAGAGGCCTCAGTGAATAGTTACAGAGCCCATGTCAGGGTTTCCATCTCCTACTATAGGGAAGAGCAGATCAACTGATAATCTGTCGTTGGATTTTTTTCAACCTGGATCTTAATATCTATGTTCTATGCTGTTTACACTGCAGAAGAATCCATCCATCTAATTCTTCCAGAAGAATGCAGAATTGGGAATATGTTCAAGAGCCTGATTTGAAGTTTGAAACTTCACTTGAACACTTTGAAACTTCACTTGAACACTTTGAAACACCTGAAAACCCCAAACAAAATAAAATATTCTTTTGAATGTATGCCTAAGCTTGGAAGAAAATAAGAGAACTGCAGGGGCCAAAGACAATGAGATGGAAACTATAGCAGGCAGCTAGAGAACAAAAAGTGCAACAGTCACGCTGGTGAAAGGCTTTCCGGTTTGATGCTAACATTACAAACCTGAGGCTGAGGTTTTAATGGCTTCATAAAAGCAGAAGACCCCACTTAACTTGGGGAGTTACACTGAGGCCCCAAATAAAGCTATAATCCACAAAGGACCTCAGCCTAAGTAAAAGGTATACCCAGACTTGCCAGATTTAGCAAATAAAAATATAGGCTGGCCAGTTAAATTGGAATTACAAATGAACTTTTAATATAAGTGTGTCCAATGCATTATCTGGAACATACTTCTCCTAGAAATTTTTGTTGCTGTTTATCTGAAATTTAAATTTAACTGGACACCCTGTATTTTTATCTGGCTGTCCTAGAGACACTAGAAAAATTACCCACCAACCAGCACAAGGAGTCAACAAGAATGCTTGCCTATCTCCATGTGGACTCTCAGTAGTGGGGGACAGGTGGGAGGGAAAAATATCCTCCCTTAAAAATGAATAATCATGGGTCTGCCTTACACAGATTTATGGTTCAACTTTATACTGCATGAGCCTCATCTACCAGGACAGAAATTAGCCTAACAAAGGCCCACCAGACCATGATACCTCAGCATTCCAAAGATAAGCTCACAACTCAAAATTGCAGTTGGGTCGCTTATGTACTACAAGCAAAGCAGGCTCCTTCACTTGTCAGTTTAAAAATTCAAACTGCACAAAGGCTTTGAGACACGTCTACAGAATCAAACAAGCTGATTCCTTCTCTGTATTCTCGTAGGTAGGGCAAATCAAAAGGTTCGATCCTGTGGCTTCACGCTGTGATTCTCATTTGGCCAAAAACACAGCTGAGAAAAAAAAAAAAGAAAAGGAAAAAACAAGCCAGTTCTAGCATTGGAAATGTAGCATTCATTAATCCATTAAGAATAAAAAGGAATGAGATCATGTCCTTTGCAGGGACATGGATGAAGCTGGAAGCCATCATCCTTGGCAAACTAACACAGGAACAGAAAACCAAACACCGCATGTTCTCACTCATAAGTGGGAGTTGAACAAAGAGAACACATGGACACAGAGAGGGGAATAACACACACTGGGACCTGTTGTGGCCGGGGCAGGGAGGGGGCGCGATGGGAGGGAGAGCATCATGACAAATAGTTAATGCATGCGGGGCTTAAAACCTAGGTGACAGGTTGATAGGTGCAGCAAACCACCATGGCACACGTATACCTATGTAACAAACCTGCACATTCTCAACATGTAACCTGGAACTAAAAGTAAAATAAAATAAATAAATAGGTCCTTATGACCTAGAAAAAAAAAAGAATAGACCTTAAGGCACTTTGAAGCTTTTAGTTCCCTTTAATCATAAAAGCCACTTATTAACTAAAACTAGAGATAGCTCAAGCTATCTGATTTTAAAGGCTTAGTCTCAATGTGTCCCTTCCCTGAAATCCCAGTAGAGTAGCCAATTGTCCTGAAACCCGCTTGGATTTAGCAATGAAACACCTCAGTCCTGGCCAAACCAAGACAGTGGGTCTCAGGAAACATTCTTCATCCTAATAAAAGGCAAATTAAGTACAGTTGACCCTTGAACAACATGGGGGTTATGGGTGCTGACTTCCCATGCAGTAAAAAATCTGGGTATAACTTTCGATTCCACAAAAACTTTGCTAATAGCCTTAACTGTTAACTGGAAGCCTTACCAATAACACATACAGTTGATTAACACATATATTGTATGTATTATATTACAATAAATTAAGCTAGAGAAAAGAAAATGTATTCCTTTAGCTGCCATCCTGCCTCCCTGTGTGCTTCTAATCTCAGCTGGTCTCACCCGGGACTCCCCAAGTGCCAACCCTAGTCCCCCACGCAGCCCCTTTTCCACTCAGATAAGATGAAAGAAACAATCATGAACCAAAAACTCACCAAACGGCAAGCAGAAGTGCACACTGGTCGGAAAGGAACTGCTCACAGGAAAAAGGTGGTTCACAGCATCTGAGACGCTGTGTTTGAGGGCAAGTAGGCCCCTTTGACACCTTTGGTGTTGAACTCATGAGGTTTTGAATGTCCAGGGACATTGGCCAATATCAAAAGAACTTTAAAAGTCAGTTTGGTAAGGTACTTCTTGACTTCAGGGACAAAACAGCAATGGAACCAATCCAGAAAAAGGGTTCTCATTGTCCAGGCCTTCTGGTACAACCAAAAGACTGGCAGCTGGCATTTATCTTGTCCCTTCAAGGCTCAGAGGTTAACGGTTTTATACATAAGGGTAGTCCTGATCATAAACCTAGCGACAGCAGAGGATAAAAAATTTCAGTTCTCCTTAAAGAAATTAGGGGTAAACAATATCCCTGGTATTGAAGAGGTGAATATGTTTACACACCAAGGAACAGTGATTCACTTTAACAACCCTGAAGTTCAGGCATCGCTGGCAGCAAACACTTTCACCATGACAGGCCATGCTGAGACAAAGCAGCTGACAGAAATGCTACTCAGCATCGATCATAAACCAGTGCTGCAGATGGTCTGACTAGTTCAAAGAGACTGGCTAACACTGCCCAAACAATCTGTGGGTGGAAAAGCACCACTTGCTACTGGAGAGGATGATGAAGTTCTAGATCTTGTGGAGAATTCTGATGAGGCTTCCAACAATGAGGCAAACTGAATTAAGTCAACTTCTGAAGAAGATAAAACTTGAAGTAGTTACTGAGAGCTGCTGTTTTATGTTATGACTGCTTTTTAAAAATGTTTTGTTTACAGATCTAATAAAATCTAGATCTCTAATATTTTTAAGCCCCTTGGACACTGCAGCTCTTTTCAGTTTTTGCTTATATACAATTCACTCTTTGCAGCTAATTAAGCTGAAGAAGCCTGGGAATAAAGTTTGAAACAAAGGTTAATAAAGCTCTTTGCCTAGTAAAATATGTGTGTGCCTGTGTGTGTGTGTGTATGTGTACACACATATATACATGCATACACATATATGCATATATTCACACACATATATAAATACATACACATATACACATACACACATATAGTATTCATTAAGTAGAAGTGGATCACCACAAAGGTCTTCATCCTCGTCATCTTTACATTGAGTAGGCTGAAAAGTAGGAGGAAGAGGAGGGTTGGTCTTGCTGTGTCAGGGGTGGCAGAGGCAGAAGGGGTGAAGGAGGTAGAAGGGGAGGCAGGAGAGGCAGGGACGTTACATGTGTATTAGTCCGTTTTCACGCTAATAAAGACATAACTGAGACTGGGTAATTTATAAAGAGGAAGAGGTTTAACTGACTCACAGTGCCACATGGCTGGGGAGGCCTCACAATTATGGTGGAGGGCAAAGGAGGAGCAAGGGCGTGTCTTACATGGCAATAGGCAAGAGAGAGCTTATGCAGGGGAACTCCCACTTATAAAACCATCAGATCTCGTGAGACTTATTCACTACCACGAGATCAGTATGGAGAAAACCGCTCCCATGATTCAATTATCTCCCATAGCGTCCCTCCCATGACACATAGGGATTATTACAATTCAAGGTGAGATTTGCATGGTGACATGGCCACACTATATCACCATGTAACTTTATGGAAATACATTGTTAATTCCGTCTGATTATTTTTTGGTTTTGCTTTTTAATTTATCTAAATGTTTCTATATGGTACTAATCCTTCTACAACTAGGCCCCTTTAGATTTCAGTACCCCTGTATTTTTAGTGACTGAAATCATGAAAATTCTGGTCAGGTCCTGTCTTGTCTTGCTTGCACATGTTAACCACTCCCTCTTTGACCAATATCCCTTTTTCCCCACAATACAATTATAAACTGCTGATGTACTATTTCTTTGTCAAGCAGAGGGAAATAACTTCAGGGTCACAAAACATTTTTGTAGAAGAAATGAATGCCTTTAAGAATGTTTCAACCAGCTGCTGACACCCAGAAATCTGGCTGCTCAAGGTGTTATCTGAGACTGAAGACAGACTTTTCCCCTGGGTTCCCTGAAACTCCCCCTCCCTTACTCTCCAGCTGCATAAAAACTCTCTGCTTCATCTTTTTGTTAAGATAGATTTGAGAGAGCTTGTTCTCCTGGCTTCTCACTTTAGCCAAATTGAAAAAACCTTTCTCTATCTCCAAGCACCGATGTCCCATTGTTTGGCTCCAGCTGCACATTGGGCACACGAGCCTGAATTTGGGATTCTACAACACTTCCAATGTTTGCTTTAGTTTCAATGCTCATGTTATAGAAGAGTTCATGCCATAAAATAAGTCAAAAGCAGTCTTGACTAATTGGAAGGCTTCTGCCAGGTTGTCTAATGTCAATTTGTTTTCTGGCCCTGCTTCTTTTGACCTCTATTCTTTATTGTCTGGTGCTAATTCAGAAGCACTCATCTCCATCAAGTCATCTCCTATTAATTCCTTTCATGTGACGTCTGCTAGTTCTTGGAGTTCTCTAAGATCTATATCTTGAAACCCTTTATTCCTACCCTTTTTGCCATAGCCACAATCTCTTTTATTATTACCTTGACTGTCTCTGTCATAAATCCTATGAAGTCATGTGCAACATCTGGGCACAGTTTTTTCCAAATGGAATTTATTATTTCAGGCTTAATGACCCAGGATTCTTTTTATCCCAATAATAGCATCTTTAATGGCAGGTAAGCCTTTCAGACTTTCATAATGTTCTCTCTCTCAGATACTCTTCCATAGAGACAATCCTTTCCATAGAGTACAGTGTGTAACGAGCCTTAAAGGTCTTTATGACCCCTGAGCTAGAGGGTGAATTAGAGACACTGTGTTTGGGGGCAAGTAGACACCTTTGACACCTTCCATGTTGAACTCATGGGGTTCTTAGTGGCCAGGGACATTGTCAAATATCAAAAGTACTTTTAAGTTCAGTCACTTACTAGCAAGGTGCTTCCTGACTTCAGGGACAAACCATCAAAGGGACCAATCCAGAAAAAGGGTTCTCATTGTCCAGGCCTTCTTGTTGTACAACCAAAAGACTGGCAGCTGGTGTTTAACTTTTCCCTTCAAGACTCAAGGGTTAACAGTATTATAGTTAAGGGCAATCCTAATCATAAACCTAACTGCATTTGTATAAAATGGTAGAGTCAGCCTATTCCTTCCTGCCTTCAGTCGTGTTGTTCGCTTGTCTTTCTTACTAATAAATGCCCTTTGTGGCATTTTTTTTCCAGAATAAAGCACTTTGATCTGCATTTTAAAAACCTCTTCTTGAAGATATCCATTCTCCTCAATGATTTTCTTAATGGCATCTGGAAACTTATCTGCTGCCTCTTCATTGGCAGAAGCTGCTTCTCCTGTTATCTTGACATTTTTTAAGCCAAATCTCTTTGTAAAATTATCAAACCATCCTTTGCTGACACTAAATTCTCTAGCATTAGACCCTTCACCTTCATTTTGTTTTTAAGTTGTTATATAATGACTTTGCTTTTTTTGAATGATATTAGTATATAGGTATGCCTTTTTTATAGCAATCCCGCATCCACATAAAAAGCTGCATTTTCAATGTGAGATAAAAAGGTATTTCACCAACACAGGAACAGAAAACCAAACACTGCATGTTCTCACTCATAAGTGGGAGTTGAACAATGAGAACACATGGACACAGGGAGGGGAACATCACACACCAGGGCCTGTTGGGGGGCCGGGGGCAAGGGGCAGGGAGAGCCATTAGGCAAATACCTAATGCATGTGGGGCTTAAAACCTAGATGACAGTTTGATAGGTGTAGCAAACCACCATGGCACATGTATACCTATGTAACAAAACTGCACGTTCTGCACATGTATCCCAGAACTTAAAGTAAAATTTAAAAAAACAAAAATAATTTTAAAAAAGGTATTTCACCAAAAGTGCAAGATTTCTGCACCCACTGGCATAGCTGCAGCAATGGCTTTACAACATTCCTTTTCTTTTTTTACAATGATCCTTATGCTGGATTCATTTATCTTGAAATGGAGGGCAACCACAGCTGCAGATCATGATCTACAGTACATATTATCAAACAATCCAACGTTTTCTTGTAATGTCATGACTTTTCTCTGCTTCTTGGGAGCATTTCCAGCATCACTAATGGCATTTTGAATGGGTCTCATGATGTTATCCACGGTTGATGGTATTGCACTAAACACGACAAGAAATACATGAGAACTGTGAGAAATCACTTTTTACCGTAACACCCAATTTACTGGAGAGATGAATTGCTCTTGTGAAGATGATTTTATGCAGTTATAATTATGATTTAATACTCATTCTTTATGTCTACATTTCTTTCAACTTCAAATGGCATAATGTGCGGTCTGCGTGTGTGCATAAGTTTTGATAAATTTTAACTTTCTTTAATAGATTTGTGTATATTTTGTTGCAGTAAATGATAGACTAGTATCAACATACATTTTATGCATGCATGACATGCCTAGCTTTTCCTTAATTTTTTTCAATATTTCTAGTCTACAGGGTTTATTTGTGAGTCTTTTCAAGTTGCCATAAAACTTCAAAAAAATTCCAATATATTTATTGAAAAAAATTCACATATAAGTGGCCTTGCTCAGTTCAAACTCATGTTGTTCAAGGGTCAACTGTAAATCTTTGAAAGTTTTTCTCTTTATCCTTCTACAAGCAACATTTGGGAAAAATAAGCTAATAATAATTTCTTTAAGAGATAGGTTGCATAGAATGTCTATAACTGAAATATACATGAATAAATAAGTACATATGGATATACACTCACTCATAAGCTTCCGTGAGCTTCAGTTTCCTTATCTGTAAAATACAACCAACCATAGAACCAAAAGGTTTCAGTAAAGATTCAATGAGATTGTGCACAGTGTAAATAAAGCACTTAGCTTAGTTTCAGACACACAGTAAGCACTCAAAATTGTTATTTCTTATTAAGTTTCATACTTTTGTAGCACTTAGATTTTATATTTCAGTAATATTAAATGAAGCCATTTTCACATTTTTGGTTTGAAGTAGCAGCTTTTTTGATATTGCTTGAAGATTCTCACACACAATATCTCAGAAACTGTTGATGGATGCAAATTATTTTCTCTCACTATATGTGGACATTGATCATTCATCCTTTGACTTTCAAAATCCACACATTCTTATCAAGAATCAGGAAAAGTGACAATGCTTTCTTGAAAAATGTTATATTCTTCACAAATGTTTTAAAACTTTTTTAAAAAAACAAGCTTGATACATTTTATCTTGTCTGCTTGTCCTTTTTCCAAAATGTAAAGGTAATAGTGAAAATAGCCTTCCCAGGCCGGGCGCGGTGGCTCACGCCTGTAATCCCAACACTTTGGGAGGCCAAGGTGGGCAGATCACGAGGTCAGGAGTTCAACACCAGCCTGGCCATCATGGTGAAACCCTGTCTGTACTAAAAATACAAAAATTAGCTGGGTATGGTGGTACATGCCTGTAATCCCAGCTACTCGGGAGGCTGAGGCTAGAGAATTGCTCAAACCAGGACCCAGGAGGCAGAGGTTGCAGTGAGGCAAGATCACACCACTGCACTCCAGCCTGGGCTACAGAGCGAGATTCTGTCTCAAAAAAAAAAAAAAAAAAAAAAAAAAAAAAAAAAAAAAGGGCTTCCCTTTTTCCCACTTTTTACCGTCAGTGACCCAGAACAAACAGCTTTCATTTCTGATTTGCAAAGTATTCCTTTAAATTGAGTATATGTTTTATGTGAATCTATAGTTTTACTGATAAAAAAGGAGCCAAAACTATTTTTTAAAGTTCTTTTTTTCTTCCGGAATTAGCTGCATTGAGCATGTGCATATTAACAGTCTTTTAAATTGTTATTAATATGAAGACATTACCCTTCCTCTGTCGGAAGGACATAACGCTGAGCCATTTGGAGTGAGTTCTGACAGATTTGCCCCAAATCACCCATATCATCTTCTTACATCTTTTTTGTGGCCAGAATATAGTTTAATGCTACAACTATTTCAGATATTGCTGTCAAATAAGGTTTTCCTTTGTTTGACATTGAAAGTCCTGAATGGGATCAAGACAGGTGACCCAAACCTGTGCTTCTCAAATTTGAATGTGCATATAAATTACATTTTCAGAAACTTGTTAAACATGGATTCTGATTCTGTAGGGGCTGATTAGGGCTGTGGCCCAGGATTCTGCATATCTAGCAAGTTCCCAGGTGATGCCGACACTGCTAGTCTGGACCACATTTCAGCAGCACAGATCTAAAGCGATGGTTCTCAGCGTGTCGTCTTGGGACCAGCAGCCCAGGCATCACCTGGAAACTTATCCAAAAATGCAAATTCTCAGGGCACACCCCTGACATTCTGAATGAGAAACTTTGGGTTAAGGCCCAGTAATCTGTGTTTGCACTAGACAGCCTGAGGATTCAGATGCACAAAATGTTTGAGAACCACTGCTCTGAAAAATTAACACCCTGCTCTAAAGTAAATTTCCTGCCAACATGGACCGATTTTATTGTTTACTATTAAGACAGAAATCAAGGCTCTCTTGGGTCTGAGACATCCAGGACAGTCTGGCCATGGCTAAGTTAACTGCAGGAAAGGAGCACTTAACAAATCTGCCCACACTGGTGAGTGGGCCCTGGAAAAGCAGACCCTGCCACCAGCTCTGGCTGAAATTTCATCAGGCAGGAGCATTCCCTACATCTGAGCATATGGATGTCATTGAAACCAGCAGTCAGCAGGAGGGAAGTCTGACAGGGGTTAGTAGAGCAGTGCTGGATTGCCCAACACAGAGATAGGCATGTGCTTAAGGTACCCACTAAACAGGGACACTAAAATAATGAGAAAAAAATTTGTGAAGAATATAACATTTTTCAAGAAAACATGAAAATAGATATCATGTTGAAAATCACATTATTCGGGTTCTTCATATTAATGTTATTGGTTAGTATGACTTGGTGTAATCTCTAGAGCCAGACTGCCTGTCTCTAAGTCCTGGCTCTACCATGTAACAGCTAGATAACTTTGGAATTTACTCATCTTGCATTGCCTCAGTTTTATCATCTATAAAATGGGGATAATGGATTTTTTGTTAGAATTAAATATTACATCAGATTTGCAAAGCTCTTAGAATAATGCCTTCTATATAGTAAGTGCTTAATAAATATTTTTATTACAAGTGTGGGGAAAGAAAATAAGGGTTCCATATTTCTTTCAGTGCTTAGGGTTTTGAAAGAATTAACTGAACAAATTAACCAATAAACCAAAGAAGTTTAACACAACTTGTGAGAGATTAGACAAAAGTCAGAAATGCAAGCAGATAAGAGGAGCCATCTGAAGAGATCTATGGGTCCTAGAGAAAGACCAAGCAAGAGTAGGATAGAACTAGGGAAAGGGCAGGACTCTGCCCAAAGTCAGGTACGTATCAGAAAAAAGGAACACACCTTAAATCTCTGGGGTACACATTAGGAGATGTGTGTGTGCTGGCCACCCACAAGGATGTATCATCATCAGTAACTCTCAGAACTTAAGGCCGCACCACTGGCTCTCACCTTAGCTGCAAATGGAATCACCTGGGGAGCTTTCTAAAATACCGGTACCTGGGTTCTACCCCCAGAGTCTGTTTCATTGGTCTGGGGCATTACCTAGGCATCAGAGTTCCAAAATCTCCTCAAAGTGAGTTTATTAGTGTCCAGGGTTGAGTGTCTTGCATCTTTTAAGTTTGTCAGCATTGATCCTGGAAGTTGTGATGGGCCCAACTGCAGGTAAATGAGAAACTCAAGGATAGGAAAACACAGTCCGTGCTTATTCATCATCTCCACATTCTTTTTTTTTTTTTTTTTTTTTTTTGGAAATGGAGTCCCACTCTATCGCCCAAGCTGAAGTACAGTGGCACGATCTCAGCTCACTACAACTTCTGCCTCTTGGGTTCAAGTGATTCTCCTGCCTCAGCCTCCCAAGTAGGTGGGATTACAGGTGTGCACCACCACACCTGGCTAATGGATTTTATTTTTTTGGTGGAAACAGGGTTTTACCATGTTGCCCAGGCTGGTCTAGAGCTCCTAACCTCAAGTGATCTTCCCACCTCGGCCTCCTAGAGTGCTGGGATTACAGGCATGAGCCATCGTGCCTGGCCCAGGTTCTTTATTCTTCATATTTATGCTCTAGACTTAGTTCCTTCCAAGCTGTTGCTAGTACATAGGGTGCCTTTGTGCAATTCAGAAGCACATTTTCCTTCTTCAGGATGCTTTGTCAAGAACTGAGAACGGTCTGAGATGTTGCCCTACGTGCAAGCTAACGGGTAAGCCTATCGCAGTTTCATGGATGGTGGCAGAAGACTTGAGACTTCTTGCTTTTGGACTTGTTTTATTTTTTTAATCATCTCATTCCTCAGATGATTTCCTATTCATACTTCAACTTTTTACTAATTATTTACCCGAAGATTTTGATACTTTAAGACATGATCAACTCCATATACTACTGGGCCTAATCCTCGTTATTGGCACATTGAAGCAACATAAGCCACCTCAGAACTGAGAAATACAGATTAAACTAGCCAAATCCATGACAATGACTGAGTTGTGTACAAATGACCCATACCAAGTATTAGATGAAACAAGAGACTTCCAAGAATTGGCATGGCCTCAGGGAGACACAATGTGCCACTATGTCTGAAGATGTGCCATAACTGTTAAGCTGCCATCTTACCAGTTACAAGAACTCAAGTTTAATCTCTTGCAAGAACTATACTGAAAAGATGGCCTAACAACTATGTGCTGTCACGTGTCTGAGTGTTGCAACAACAGGTGAATGATTAGTATGGAATTTTAAAAGGGGAACAAAGACAAAGAAGGAACAGAAGCTAACTAGCATAAACTGGGGAGAATTTGTATCTGGCAAATACCAACAGAGAAGTATCTGCTATGTTGGGGCAGGGACTTCCAACTGGCTTTCCCAAGGCCTTGGTAAATGTCCCTCCAATCCTGTGACGGTTAATTTTATGTATCAACTTGACTGAGCTAAGGGATGCCCAGATAGCTGGTAAAACATTATTTCTGAGTGTGTTTGTGGGGGTGTTTCTAGAAGAGATGAGCATTTGAATCAGTAGACTGAGCAAAGAAGATCCGCCCTCACCAATGTGGGAGGGCATCATCCAAGCCATTGAGGGCCTAAATAGAACAAAATGTCAAAGGAAGAGCAAATTTGCTCTCTTCCTTCTTGAGCTGGCACTTGCATCTTCTCCTGCCCTAGGATGTTGGAGCTTCTGCTTTTCAGGCCTTCAGACTTGGACTGAATTACACCATCTTTTAGTTCTCCAACTTACATATGGCAGATTGTGGGACTTCTTGGCCTCCATAATCATGTGAGCCAATCCCCATAATAAATCTCTTATATGTTTACATATATCCTATTAGTTCTATTTCTCTGGAGAACCATGACTAATACACCCTCCCACTGCTTCATTCCAGTTCCACATTTGGCAAGCAACATTCCATGACTCATCTGGCTTCCCAGCCATGTTGCTATAGGGAAGGACCCCAGATAATGAAAGAAACTAGCCTTGCAATATAAAGGAACTAAAATGATACGTTGGCATTCTGATCTATGCATCAGACTCTCACCAGTTTGTTAGTGAGACTGTCATTTCCCCGGTGGCAGATTGCCTGTAAATCCTCAGTACTAAAGCTGGATCCAGCCATGGACATGCAGCTGACGACATGAAGGCATTTTCCCAAGAAGGCCACCTGGCCTCTCTAAACTCCCCCTCATTACTCCCTGATAGCAACTGGTCCCACCCCAGGTTTCATCCTATCCTAAGGTGAGTGCCTGAGCTGAAACTGGTCCCTAAAATTCCAGAAGTCTTTGGAGACAGGGCAATTCTAAACCCTTCAGGGAAGTCCCTGTTGTCCAATTTAGGACATGCAAGCAGAATGTCACTCTCAAGACTGAAATATTACTTCTCAACTGTTTAAAGACCAGAATGGGATGAGGACTTGGAACTGCCATATGCACCCAGGATCCATATTTATTCATTCAGCACCCAGAATGTGGTAGATAATAGATACTATAGATACAGAGGAAAATGAGATGGAACATTAACCATGGGCTGATATTGTCACAGGACTAGTTATCAGCTTTGCAGGGCTTGAGTCAATCAGTGGACCCAAAGTTGACCAGGATCTTGGGGACTCACTCTCACTAACCCAAGTTACATGAGAATGAAGAGTCAAGCAGAATTCCAATTTGTTAATTTATATTGATCAGAATTTTATCATTTCTAGTGTCTATAAGGAGTCTGCTATTAGACCGTTCTCTGTATCAAGGTGCCTGGAAAGGCAAGTTATCAATGTTCACTCGGTTAGTTAAAGGAAGAATGGATGCTGAGGGCCACCTCACACACAACACGGGAATGCCTAACTTTGATGGGTGCCTCCATGTTGAAAAACTACTATCTTTATAGCAATCCTGTCACCATGATATGAAATTTGTTTTTCTCTAGAAAATTAGCTAATACAGATGGTCACCCTAATTATCAAGTAAAGTTAGAATGAGCTGTGTGACAAATGGTGCTGTCATGTCTTCTTGAGAACTAGTTATTGTTTATCTTGACAACATGCAGGTAGTGGGTTGTATCTGCTTGGTTATATAAAAGGATGAGACTTCTGTCTTTGCCATCTCATAGAGGATTGCCTGTGATGTGCATTACATTCTGGTTTAACGCTTATTGAATAATAAATGTGTTTTCTTTCTCTGCTTTCTCAATAGAGAGGATTTCTGGGCTGGGAGGAGATTTTGTTTTTAACTGTATTTCCCTACCATCTTATTCTTCCACATGCACAGTCCTTAGCAGTGTTTCTCATGTATAAAAGATTTTCTGTTGATTTCTACCATTCCTTTTCCTATTTTCACACATCTAAGAGCAAGAAGGATTTTTTTTTTTTTTTTTAGTTTGTGGGGAAAAAGGTAATACTAATTCAAAATATAAAGCCATAGTCAGAAAGTTTGAAAATCTTTGCAAACTAGATTTTATTAATAATGTTAAACGGTGAGGGTGGGGAAATATGTTCTTAGTGGATACCAAGGGGTAAAAAAGAAGGGAAGGAGGAAGGGAGCTACATGAAGTAGGAATTCTGGAAGGCAGAACCCAAGTAGTCATACGGAAGGTACCAAGCCTTCGAAACATCACAAGAGGCTACATTAATTCTAACTCTTTTCCTAAAATTTGGAGGAAGTATTAAGATGTTGAAATGCATAGCTAATTTGCATACTTTGAATGAGTCATGACAAATATTTCAACTGACAAGAATTTTTCACATTGAAACATGATGATAGTGAGCTTTTTGTATTAGCTGTCATCCCTATAATATTCAGAGACGGTGTTATTTTGTGTAATTCACTTGGAGGGTACAGATCTCACTTACCCACTCACAAAACAAGGGTAATGTGTTGGGGTATAAATTTAAAATCCAGGAATGTGTGATTGCATTGTGCTGTAAGTTCATGCTATGTTTTCACAAAGGCTAAAAGGTTAGCAAAATAAAGATAATTTATGAGAAGCAAAATAAGAAATTGGAAAAGTACATATAGCAGAGAATCTTGTGGACCCATATGTTTTGGGCACCAGGGAGATAGACGATATCATGGCTTCTCAGTGATCTGTGTGAGGGAGCCCTCAGCACTCATTCTTTCCCTACTAACCAAGTGAGCATTGTTAACTTGCCTTCCCAGGCACCTTGATATAGAGAAGGGCCTCAAGAACACACTCCTGTACATATTAGAAATGATAAAATTCTGATCAATGTAAATTAATAAATTGGAATTCTGATTGATTCTTCATTCTCATGTGACTTGGATTACTAGAGTCAGTCCCCAAGATTCTAGTCAACTTTGGGATTGAATCAATCCCTGCAAAGCTGATAACTAGTCCTGTGAATATGTGGTCACTCGCCAAGATAAGCCCATGGGTAATGTTTCCATGGAGTCCAGACTCAGCAATCAGCTGATGGCTCTTTGTGATTCTCTCTCTCTCCTGCCCCTTCTCTCTCTCCCTTCCTTACTCCCTCTCCTCTAATTTCACAAAGCCATTTTTAGAATTCTCATTTATCACCCAGGTGATCCCTCTTTCCCATCATAAAGGTTGTAGCCAATACACCTATAACAAATGAGAAATTAGCAAGAGAAAAGCATAACAAGTACACTTGATCATAGGTTTATGTGACATGGAAGTTTTCAGGATGGAGGCCTAAAAATACAAGGGAAACTGTTCATTTTTACGCTTAGGTTCTATGACGTAGGGACAACCATTTAGAAAGGGGATTGGACAAAAAGGGTATGAGCTAATGGGAATAGACTCAGTGGGGGAAACCCAGAGAGGCCTGCATGCCCAGATTCTTCTTGGCTTCTCTGTGCAGCACTCCTTTCTCCTGGGTAGAACCGCTGTGAATGAAAGTCTTTTTTTTTTTTGAGACAGGTTCTCACTCTGTCACCCAGGCTGGAGTGCAGTGGCACGATCTCAGCTCACTGCAACCTCTGCCTCCCTGGCTCAAGCAATTCTCCCACCTCAGCATCCCGAGTAGCTAGGACTACAGGTGTGTGTCACCACCCAATTAACTTTTGTATTTTTTGTAGAGATGGGATTTCACGATGTTGCCCAGGCTGGTCTTGAACTCCTGCGCTCGAGCAATCTGCCTGCCTTGGCCTCCCAAAGTGCTGAGATTACAGGCATGAGCCACTGTGCCCAGCCTGAAACAAGAGTCTTAATTTCTTTATGGCCAGTTGTTACACAGAAATGTGGGGGAAGGTTAGAGGAATATTTTTAGGCTCTATGGCTGGCTTTAGGGAAAAGAGGTTCTAATTTCTATGCTTTGCCTCAGGGAGAATGAGGGGCGAGAGACAGGAGGGCAAAAGGTTGGAGACAGACTTTGCTTCTGAGGCTGCTTCTGAGGCTTTCATTTGAAGGTATTGTTTTCTGAGCCCCAACAACCATAAAAATACAAATGGAGAAGGGGATAAAATCACCAAGATAGCAACAAAATATCTTGCTTAATGATCTATGATTTACTAAATGGGACAGTCAAAGCCACATGAAAAAATATGAAAAGCAGGCCGGGCACAGTGGCTCATGCCTGTAATTCTAGCACTCTGGGAGGCCAAGCTCAGGAAATTCTAGCACTTTGGGAGGCCGAGCTCAGGAGTTCGAGACCTGAGCTCAGGAGTTTGAGACCAGCCTGGGCAACACGGTGAAACCCCGTCTCTAACTAACATACAAAAGAAATTAGCTGGGTGTGGTGGCACATGCCTGTAGTCCTAGCTACTCAGGAGGCTGAGGCAGGAGAATTGCTTGAACCCGGGAGGCAGAGGTTGCAGTGATCCGAGATCGCACCATTGCACTCCAGGCCTGGCAACAGAGCAAAACTCTGTCTCTAAAAAAAAGAAAGAAAGAAAAGAAAAGCAGATGATGACAGTTCTTAAGGGAATATCATCATAACTGAAGAGCCAAGCCCAATAATGCGTGGCATGCCACCGTCCCCTCTGAAAACGAAGTGACCACGGAAGTCCCACGAGACTCCAGCAGCCCTGACCACAGCCGATTGGACCCACAGCAGACACGGAATATTCTAACGTTTAGTGTAATCCAAAATGAGATGACAGAGGCAGGGTGAGAGGCTCACACCTATAATCCCAGCTACTTGGGAGGCTGACGTGGTAGGATCACTTAAGCCCAGGAGTTTGGAGTTACAGCGAGCTATGACTGTGCCACTGCACTCCAGCCTGGGAGAAAAAGACTCTGTCTCAAAAATAAATTAATTAATTAAAAAGAGATAATAGTGAGTAAACCTGAAGCTCTCTCTGTAGGTCTGTGACCTGCATATTTTTTAAATGTTAACACTGTAATATGAAAGCGTGGCTGAACAGTTAGCCTTGCTCTTTTGGCACCCTGACCAGTGCCTCTCACTTTAGCTGAGTTTAAGAGCTTCCTTAAGAAATGACCAGCAAACTCCATGATCTCCAAGCCTAAGGGTGGTCATTTTAGCTTGGGGAATTGAGGACACAGAGGCAGGTCGACAGCAGTCAGAGAAATCCTGCAGTTGAGGGTCATGTCCCAACACTACAATCTGACTTAATCTGTATTTGTCAATATATGAAAGAACAATGCAGAATCACTGGACATGAATAAAACCAACAGCATGAAAGAGAGGTGCCAAGATGAAGAAGCCTTGTAAAAGGTCCCAGAAGAAAACTTGTATTTAATATTTGAAGTAATTTTCTCAAAGACACTGAGAAGTTACAAGATTCATAAAACAAGATATTACCGGCCATGCCAATGGATATGTTAATTAAGTTCACACTTACGGGCACTAACTCCAACAGAAGCTTCCACTTTCACAATGTCTCAATAGCCAATTACATGTGATCAAATTCACTGTTTATACAGAGGACTTCACACACCACCAACCATGCAATTAATATCAACGCACAGGGAATAATCAGAGGCAGGTAACAAACCACAGCAACCGTGCTGGTGACCAATGGTTAACACACCAGTCAAGTGGGTCCTGAGTCCTTGGTAGGGTCACTGCTTCTCTCTGCTGACATCCACCAAGACAGGAGAAGGTCTCAGACTTACCCCGGGCAGAGTCTCCAAAGGCATCTCTGAGAAGGCCTGGTCTTTGCTGCTTTTATAATCCTCAGCCACTTTTCACTTTCTATTGGGTTCAGTCCAGGTCTTCGGTGGTACCTGGTGACAACAGGTGCTATTACCTCTGTCCATTACATGTATGTTTATCACATTGAGGCAGGTGCAGCTTCACTGTGGGCTTAATGCAGCTTGACATGAGTGACTCCCTTTTGAGACATTAGGATCACAAACCATTATGACATATCATAAGAAAACACTGCTATGTAAAATGTTCATCAGAGAACAAGAGTTAGTATAAAAGAAAAACATGGTTGCCAAAATAAGAAACATATTAGGAGCTGAAAAGCCAAATGAGCACAACTGAGGAACAAATTAGTGATTAGAAGACCAAGTCATACAATTCTACCAGAACACTGAATGGAAATTCTATGCAAAACTATGGAGATTATAAAACTCAAGTGGAGACAAGGAGAAAAAATCCAGAGTCATAATAATCTATATTCAGAAAGAGAAATAAAGAAGAAATGGAATCCAGAAAATTGTAGAAAATTGCTCTGAGATGAAAAAAAAGACTTGATATTCCAATAGAGTCTCTGGTTTGAAATGGGAATATCAAAAGAATGTAACTAGATTTCTGCTGTTGAGATATTTAACTATATTGCTTTTAAAGTCTGGGATAATTCTATATTTAAGTTTAAAAGAGCACAAACTACCTCAATTCCATTCTGTCTGCTAAATGTGCATAAACAATTTCTGCATGGAATATTTTTTAAAGTCTGCTGGATTTATTCAAATAAGGCATCAATCCATCTTACTCTGTTTTTAGCAGACATTTGGTACAGGGCAATACAGCCCATGGATAATCACTCAATGTTTGCTAGTTAACTAAGAAACACTAACAGTCTATTTGATGCTTATGAGAAAGCAACAAACAATAGTTTTCTTCAAGGTAGAATGATTTGGAGAATGCATCATAACCATGCTGAGCTTTCACAAATGTAAAGATTTCTTCACAATAAAATATGTTGAGACAGTCATATTTAAGCAATGCTTTTACAGCCACACAGCCATTCAATTGTACTGATTCCTCACTTTATAGTCCCTGCAACTTAATCCCTTCCTGTACGCTTAAAAAATTCCATACAAAGTTTAATAAAACAAAGGCACAATGTACATATACATACAAAATAAACACTGACTCTATGAGGCATTCTCCTAAATATTCGTTTTTAAATATAGTTTCTTAATATTTTACACCTTCCTTGTTAAAATGTGATGCTGTCGACCAGCCTGGCCAACACGGTGAAACCCCATCTCTACTAAAAATACAAAAATTAGCCAGGCGTGGTGGTGCGGGCCTGTATTCCCAACTACTCCAGAGGCTGAGGCAGGAGAATCACTTGAACCCAGGAGGTGGAAGAGGTTACAGTGAGTCAAGATGGTGCCATTGCACTCCAGCCTGGGCGACGAGAGCGAAACTCTGACAAAAAAAAAAAAAAAAAAAGAGGAAGAAAAGCAAAGAAGAGAAGAGAAGAGAAAGGAAGAGAAGAAAAGAAAAATGTGATGCTGTCCTAAGGGCTGGGAAAAATGGAACCAGAACAATGGCATATAGATAATGGCCTAAGGTGGAAACAATTTTGGTAATTGTTGATAATTGTTGCTGTTGTTATTTTAAAGAAATTAAACACAATTTGCCCCAAGTTTCATCTTTTATAAAACCATTCTCATGGTAAGTACGTTTCAATGACCCAAATGAATTAACAAAAAATTAATCGGGGAAATGAACCCTGATTGCTACCGCTGTATTTTCTCCTAAAACATTGGCTTACAATCAAATGAAACTTAATCATAACAATCCAGAGATTGACTCATCCGATGTTGCCCAATAGTGGCAAAGAAGGGCAAGTCAGAAAAAAAGGAAACTGAAATTCAAAGACTGTAATCAGCTATTTTGGACAAAATTAAACAAATTAAATGGCTTTTCTTTTTTCAAAATAGTCTCTATTCTCACATTCCTGATTTGTTGTTTCAAATATTTCCAGTTTACTCTGACAGTTCACATTCTCCCACAAGCATCCCTTATAGGGGAGCTGCTGTTATCAGGATGAAGATAAAGATCTATTCATTGTATTCTATTTGCTGGCAGACCAGCACTCCAGAACAGGATAAAAGCCACAGCCATTAAAAAATAGATTCTCGGCTCGGTGTGGTGGTTCACACCTGTAATCCCAGCACTCTGGGAGGCCGAGGTGGGCAGATCACCTGAGGTCAGGAGTTCAAAACCAGCTTGGCCAACATGGCAAAACCCTGTCTCTACTAAAAATATAAAAATTATCCAGGTGTGGTGGTGGGTTCCTGTAATCCCAGGTACTCAGGAGGCTGGGGCACAAGAATTGCTTGAACTGGGAGGCAGAGGTTGCAGTGAGCCGAGATTGTGCCACTCCACTCCTGCCTGGGTGACAGAGCAAGACTTTGTCTCAAAAAAAATAAACAATAGATTCTCCTGACACATTTCTGTTGGGGATGAGGGCATGAGTTAATATGACTGACTAATTGAAAGCATCAGGTTTGCATTAATTCATTCAACATTTACTGAGCACCACCTATGTGTGAAGTTGTGTGTGAGACCCTGGGATATTGTGATCAACAGGGTAGATCAGTTCCCTGCCTAAAAAGAATGTTCCTATCTAACAAAGGGTACAAAGAGGGGAAACTTATATCCCCTGGGAACATACAGGTAGGGCACATAACCTAAACTTAGGATGTTGTGGTGGGCTCTTCGATGTAGTTCTTCCTTTTTTTTTTTTTGTAGAGACAGTGTTTCTGGACCAAACTGAGGGTCGGGCTGCTTATTCTCATGGCCCAATAATGAGATGCAGATGAACTGGGAAAGAAGCGAGGTTTTTATTTCTGTAACCAGTTACAGGGAGAAGGCCTGGAAATTATCACCAGACCAACTCAAAATTACAAAGTTTCCCAGAGCTTATATACCTTTTAAGCGATATGTCTGTGTGTAAGTGTGCATTCATCTAAAGACATACATGATTAACTTCTTCTAATCTATGACTAAGATCTGAGTCCTGAAGACCTTCCTCTGGAGCCTCAGTAAATTTACTTAATCTAAATGCATTCAGGTGCTGGAGTGATTACCCTTAATTTGTCTGATGGAGGCAAGATCATGGAAGTCTGGAGAGTTCCTCTAGTCCCCAGTAAAGCTTGTTTGTGAAGGTCTGAGGAGTTCCTTCAGACCCACAAGAAAACTTGTTTAATCCTAAATGGGTCCTGTTAAGACTTCCTTCATTATTTTGTCATGCTATAAGACCCGGGAAAAGCCTAGGCAAAACTCTTGGTGGGCTTTTGTTGCATTCTAGCCTTTGTATGAGGGCACTGCCTCTATCAGCTTTTAACATTTAACCTAACCACTCAGTCAGTGCTGAAACAGTTGTTATGTAGGCCTGGGTTAGTGAGACCTGGCCTGCCACAATGGAGTCTCATTATGCTGCCCAGGCTGGTCTCAAACTCCTGGGCTCATGTGATTCTCCTGCCTTAGCCTCCCAAAGTGCTGGGACTACAAGCATGAGCCCAGCCCTAGATGTAACTTCCTAAAGTAAAAATTGTGTAAAACTTTAGACAGGGTTTTCTCAACTTTGGTGCTGTTAACATTTTGGGCCTGGTAATTCTTTTGTTGTTGGGGTTGTACTGTACATTGTAGAATGTTTAGCAACATACCTGGACTCTACCCATAAGATGCCACAATTTGGTGACAACCAAAATATCTCCAGACATTGCCCAATGTCCTCTGGGAACAAACTCATCCCCAGTTAAGACCACTAGCTTAGATGAAAGATAAGAAAAGGGAAGTTGTAGAGTGAAGGAGAAGAAAAAGGTAGAAGGGTAGGGAGAGAAGACATAAGAAGTAAGAGGGAATCGTTGCTACAAAGGTCCCTTAGACAATAAAAATCATGGCCCCATAATGGGTGGTGGGTGGCAGACGCTAAGCTTGATTTGAGCATGAAGAGATAACTACAGTCTTATAAGGGCCCTTATAAGTCATATTATCAGCTTGGAGCTTTATTAACTATCTATTGCTATGTGTGATGGTTATGTCAACTTAACTGGGCCACATGGTGCCCAGATAGCTGGTCCAACATTACTCTGGGTGTTTCTGTGATAATGTTTTGGATGAGTCTAACATTTAAATCAATAGATTGAGTAAAACAGATTTTCCTCCCTAAGGTGAATGGGCTTCATTTAACCAGTTGAAGACCTGAATAAAACAAAAAGGCTGACCCATCCCAGGATAAGAGGGAATTCCCCCCACCCACAAGAAAGATGGGCTTTTGCATTTTTACACAGAGCATTTTAACTCCTTTGTCCCAAACTCTTCCCTAATAGGATTGAAATGGAACCTCAAGGCTCATGGAGATTTCCTCCATAATTTAAATGCTGTCTTCTCCAAAGACAAATTCTGCCACCATATCTAGAACAACAGGTTCAGATTTGAAATCACTTGTTTTTGGTACCCACTGTAAGTGCAAACCAATTGGCCAGAAGTAGGCAATCCAGGGGAAGTGGCAATTGCCCAGAGGAGCAGAGTTAATTCCAGGCAAGCCATATCATAGTGATCGATAATAGGCAAAGAGGCCTGGACAAGCTGTGTTGAAGCAGACTCCAGCAATAGCAGGATGGCAGGGAGGAAGGCACTACATTCCAGAAGCCAGGCAGAGGATCAAGAATCAGAGATGTACAAATATGGAAAGAGCCATTCAGGAATGAGCAAGGGTACAAGCTGGGGAAAAGTTCATTAACCCCCAATGCCCTTCCAGGTTCTTAATCTCAAGTTGCCAGAAACTTCTGGATGGCACATTTGTCTCTAGACAATGGTGACCAACAGGGTGAAGTGGAAGGGGAAAATGGGTGTGTACATTAAATATTGCACGTCACATTTTACCTAACCGATTTGAGGGCATTTGATTGTTTTCTTTTCTTTTTTTTTTTTTTTTTTTTTTGAAGGGTCACGCTCTGTCACCCAAGCTGGAGTGCAGTCGTGTGATCATAGCTCATTGCAGCCTCAATCTCCTGGGCTCAAGTGATCCCCCTGCCTCAGCCTCCCAAGTAGTTATGACTGCAGGCACACGCCACCACACCTGGCTATTTTTTTTTTTTTTTATTTTTTGTAGAGGCAAGGTCTTGTTTTGTTGCCCAGGCCGGTCTCAAACTCCTGGCCTCAAGTAATCCTCCCACCTTGGCCTCCCAAAGCACTAGGATTATAGGTGTGAGCCAATGCACCCAGTCATGTTTCCAATTTTTGATCTTATAAGCAAGGGTATGAATTTTGTTTGTGTGCAGGTGGAGTTTTTTCCCAAAAATTTTCCATACATCCATGCTTACTTCCTTAGGATAAATTTTGAGAAGTAGAATACCTAGTTAAAAGAGTGTGACTATTCTTCTAGTATTGACATAAGCTATGTAGGCACAAAAGGCAATCCTAGTTTTACTATAAATTTACTTTTTCTGATGCCTGTGAGTAATCATATGATCACGATTACTGTACATCCTAGCCTCATTGAATTCTTCATCCACGTAAGAGTTAAACAATTCCTTAAAGAGGAAGTTAAAGTGAGTCTAGTCAGGAGGTGTTGAAATGACAGAAATTCTAGGGTTAGAACAAAATGAAGGGAAATGGGTTTGAGAGGAGTGAAGGGTATAAAGGCAGTCAGACATCCAGCAAACAAATTACTCCTCTGGTTCACTCCTCCTGAACTGAACCTCTTCTTTACAACGAAATGATGCTCAAGGTATTGTAGCATTTTATGTGACTTACTTAAATTGCTTTTCTAGCAGACTTCTTCCTTCCTCAATTTCTTCAGTTGCCCTCTCCTTTTAAGAACTACCTGCTTCTGCTTTAACTTTTCTTTCAACCTGTGGGCTACCTAATTAACTGCATGGTGGCTTTCATTACTGTTTTACAAATGAGATACATGATTCTATTGTACAAAGTTAGGAAGGGAATGAATTATGACAAGTTCATTGAATTTTAACCCCCTAGTTTTATGTGTCCATTATGACGCTGCCAGATTGCATTTCTGTTAATCTATTTACTGTCACCACCTTCTGTATAAGATAAGCTTTTTGAGGCAGGAACCATCCAGTATTGACTTGGCAGTCTTGAGAGCTTAGAACAGTGCTGGACTCATAGTAAGAACTTGTGGGCCGGGCACAGTGGCTCAGGCCTGTAATCCCAGCACTTTGGGAGGCCGAGGCGGATGGATCACGAGATCAGGGGAGATCGACACCATGCTCGCTAACTCGGTAAAACCCGGTCTCTACTAAGAATACAAAAAATTAGCTGGGCGTGGTGGCAGGCGCCCGTAGTCCCAGCTACTCGGGAGGCTGAGGCAGGAGAATGGCGTGAACCCGGGAGGTGGAGCTTGCAGTGAGCCGAGATCGTGTCACTGTACTCCAGCCTAGCGACAGAGCGAGACTCCGTCTTGAAAAAAAAAAATTGTGAAATTGATTTGTTCAGTGGCTTTATGTTATTCTTTAACTTAAATAATCACTGTATTTAACTAAACAGAGATGCAAATGCCATGAGAAGGTCAAGCAGATCAGAAGATATTTTGGAAATAGATGAACGCAAGGACCACAGACAGCTGAGCAGCTGTGTGTTTATTCCCCTCACGTTTCGTTCCTTCAGGGGCCAGGGACAGCCATGTGTTCTTTGGCACACAGGGTGCTGTTCAGGACTTCCAGAGGATTCCAGGGCTCCACCTTCCTGTATCACCAGCAGCACGGTCTCATATGGATGGATGGTGCAAGTACCTCCAGGGCTCCATGTCACCACCCCACCTCCCCCACTGCTCCCCAGTCTCACATTCCTCCATAAGACACCCCTGGGTCAGATCTAGCCCTGAAGAGATGAATGATCAATCACTACATGCCCCCAGCTGTGGGGTTTGTGGGGGTGAGAAGAGAGGTTTAAAAGAGGTAGTTTTGCTTAGAGTCAGGGATCCAATCAATATTTGAAACTCTTAAGTTTAAACCCTTTCTTCCTCTCTCTTTCTGCCCCTAAAAATATTTTAACTGCAATTTCTAGCAGCGTGAAAATCAACATTATTGTTATTCTTCCACCCTAATCTGAAACCTTTGTGCCACCATCCTTTCTCTCTCCCAGCCATCTTCTCTCCTGCTTTCGCCCACCCCATACACCCCTCCACCTTTCTATCAAAGCCCTCAGAGACATAAAAAATAGCCCATCCTTTTGAAAATGGCAAGTGTTCCTTGACTTGATAAACCTGACATGAGGCTCTGTAAATGGGACTAGTCAGTGTCCAGGTTGAAGGACGTTCAGCTAGGCACGGGTTCCATCTCTGTAGCTCTGTCCTGGCACTGAGCTCAGTATCAAAGAACCCCAGATACCCCAGGTCCCCTAATCCAATAGCCCCTCACCCTACAGCTAAGATTTAAAAATGAAGTATCTGATGTTGAGAGAGACAAATTAAGTTGTGCAATGATGTAGTAACCAGAACAAGAAAGGGAAGCAATCCAATATTCACTAGGTGGTGAGCAGATAGTGAAACCTGACTTAAGAGTGGATGTTTTTAACTCTACATAATAGATGCTCTCTTGTGAAAATGTGTAGAAAACAAAATAACAGTCTACATATTGAAGAATTTGAATTTTAAAAGAATTGCAGAGTACTCCACTGCTTATGAAATTCAAGTAATCTTACATGTTTTTCTTATCTAGCTTATGGGTAGAAGCAGAATGAGCTTCTCCAGTGGGATGAACACAGACACTTCATATTCAACAAGTTCACACTGAGCCCATCATCATTGCTTGGAAGGCTGCTCCTCTTCCTGTGTTCTCTCTCTTGGCCAATGGCACTGCCATTTCCCCATCCAGAACCTGGGATACTGCAGCAGTCTTTTCACTGCCCCTGTCTACCCCTCTCCAATCCATTCTCTACACAACTGCCTACAGGAATCTTTCCAAAACATTAGTTCTGACCATAACTCTACTTTTCTTAAGACAGCACTTTGGCTCCCCATTGACATCACAGTCTTTAGAGTGATGTAATGTTCATCATTCGGTCATAAGCTGCAAATCCATTCTCCTTCTCACCTCTGTCTCCTGCATGCAACTCCACAGCTGAAAGGAGCCAAACTCCCTCCACTCTCTCACACCTCCCAGCCTTGGCCCTTGCTTCCACTTCTACCTTTACCCTCCATTCTCATCACCCTACACTATTATCTGATGACTACTCTTAAGTTTTCATAACCAGATCAAGTATCGATGTCTCCACCAACAGGGAAGAGCAGGCAGTGGTTCTCAAGTCACATATGTAATTTAAAATTTTCTAGTATTTTAAATTTTAGAAAATGTTTAGAAGAAACTGATCAATTAATAACATGTTTTATTTACACCATATCCCATATATTATTATGTTGATATCAATATATTGAATTTTTTTTATTAAGATGAGAGGAGTCTCACTCTGTTGCCCAGGCGGGAGTGCGGTGGCATGATCTCAGCTCACTGCAACCTCCGCCTCCCAGGTTCAAGCAATTCT
Organism: Homo sapiens; assembly: GCF_000001405.40. Taxonomy (NCBI): domain Eukaryota; kingdom Metazoa; phylum Chordata; class Mammalia; order Primates; family Hominidae; genus Homo; species Homo sapiens. The sequence goes on from NC_000013.11 coordinate 76,951,345, forward strand.
CCCACCTCAGCTTCCTGAGTAGCTGGGATTACAGGTACCCACCACCACACCCGGCTAATTTTTGTATTTTTAGTAGAGATGGGGTTTTGCCACCTTGGCCAGGCTGTTCTTGAACTGCTGACCTCAAGTGATCCATCTGCCTTGGTCTCCCAAAGTGCTGGGATTACGGGCATGAGCCACCACACCTGGTCAATGAATAGAACATTGATTCAGCATGCAATCAATATTTTTAAATTATTGAGATGCTTTATATCCTTTTTTTCCTACTAAGCTTTCAAAAATCAGTCTTTATTTTACTCTTATGACACATCTCAATTTGCTGCATTTCAAGTGCTCAGTAGCCACATTAGGGAGTAGCTGCCATATTGTACGTAAGAGCACCAGAGCACTTGAGAGCCTCCTAGAGATCCTAATGAAAACAGAATCCTGTGCTATGCTTCCAGAGGTTCCATTTCTGGGGAGAGTCTAATTTTGGTGGTCTGGAGTGGGGACCAGAAATGTTCCTTTTCAGCAAGAACCCCAGGCAGTTCTGAGGTACATGTTCGTCTGACCATTTGGGACTTGATAGCTAGATGCACTGATTGTCGAGTTACACCTATAGGGGTTTATGTTCAGATTCCACCACCTAAAAGCTGTGAAAATTAGTAACTTCAGTTCTCTAGGTCTCAGTCTCCTCACCTGCAAAAATAACTACCTAGAGACTTGTGGGTATTAAAAGGGTAATATATTTGAGACATTCAGCACAGTGCCTGGCAGGTGTCTCATAATAGCAGCTGTGCACTGCACCCGCAGAAATCTCTATCACACAGACGAGGTGTCCCTTGCATCCTCCTCCCACAACTCTCTGTGCTTCCCTCCACCACCACCCATCACGCAATGCTGTGTCCTGTGCTTGCTATGCTGCCCCTCAACTCAACTGAGAAGATAAACTGGCTGCTGTGTGCTCCCACATTACTCTGCCTCACACATAGTAGGTGCTTAGTACACATCTTTTTTTTTTTAGAAATTAAACTAAATCTGAGCAACTGGGTTTCTTGTAGTGGAGCAAAACTCTTTATGCAAAAGTGCCTCAAGGTGTCTTATAGAACAGAAGTGTGTAAGTAAAGTGGGGTGTATCCCTGTCCTAACACTCTTCCCTTTAAAGTCTATCACAGAAAGCTTTGCCACAGCAATCCATGGCTTGAAAGTGGGACACCTGACAGATCGTGTTATTCAGAGGAGCAAGAGGATGATTCTAGACACTCTGGGTGCTGGGTTCCTGGGAACCACTACGGAAGTGTTTCACATAGCCAGCCAATATAGCAAGGTAAGAAGCTCAAGGTCTACATTAGAGATAAAACCCAGTGCATACATATGTGTTACATTTACTCTATACTTCGTTTTATAGACAGCACTTGATGTACATAGCACTGTTCTATATCATTTTTATAATTTCCTATGTTCCATTATCTGAGTTTTAATAGTCATCCATATTCTTTACTAAGTCACTGTCTTAAAACCATACACAGTGAGGCACAGTGGCTCATATCTGTAATCCCAGCACTACCAGAGGCCAAGGTGGGCAGACGGTTTGAGCCTAGGAATTTGAGACCAGCCTTGGCAACATGGCAAAGACCCATTTCTACAAAAACAAAAAACATAAAAATTAGCCAGGTGTGATAGCACACGCCTATAGTCCCAGCTACTCGGGAGGCTGAGAGGTGGGAGGATCACTTGAGCCTGAGAGGTTGGGGTTGTAGTAAGTCAAGATCATGCCACTGCACTCCAGCCAAGGCAACAGAGCATGACCTTGTCTTAAAAACAAACAAACAAATAAACAGAAAAAAAATATGCTAATAATATCTCACAGTTTATTATTATTATTCTCTGGAGAAAAGCCTGGTCAAGTACTCTGAGCAGAGTGGGGATGTATGTGAGAGCTCCTGCTCTCCCTAGGGTGTATTAGAGATAAACAGTTAGTCCATCTTCCCTGGTATTTACCCCAAGGAGTAAATAAGAGTAACTTCAGATGTGCTTCCTTGGAGCACTTCCGGATCATGATCTAGGATCAAGCAACGACATCTCCTCCCCCTTTCACAGGGGAGAGCTGTGTATTCTACAAGGATGAGAGGTATTCAATGACTAGGGCTTCTATCTGTGGCAAAGGTTCAAGTAAGAACTATGAATAATGCCTCCAAAGATGAAGAATAACTCTTGAAATGGTGACTTGGTATACTGTATTCACACTATCACTGGTTGATTTGCTTTTGTTCCAGATCTACAGTTCCAACATATCCAGCACTGTTTGGGGTCAGCCAGACATCAGGCTCCCGCCCACATATGCTGCTTTTGTGAACGGTGTGGCTGTAAGGAGGTTTTCACGTCTTTTCAACTATTAGATAATCATAATAATTTTAGAGTCAGGAAATATCTCAGAAATTGCCCAAATTCTATATTTTACAGATGAAAGAACTGAAAGTCAGACAGATAAAGTGGCTTACCCTCTCTCCTATGTAGTAATTCAGTTTTCATGTTTTTACAGTAAATTGATGCTTTTCAAACAGATTGTGTAGCAGAGGAAAGAAGATGGAAGGATTTAGATAAAAACACCCTAAGGTATCCCAATTCAAAACCTTGAATATAAATAGCAAAAAAATATAAAACCCATATCCAGACCTAATATCTTCTGTTTTTCCTGTTGTGGGGCCAGTTTCTCTCAAGTAATGTGTTCTTTATTCATTCACTCATTCATCCATTCAACAGATAGTTATTGAGAAAGGAACAATGGCCTTATAGTGTCTGTATTTTCTGAACCAAAAATCTGTACTTCTCATCTGACAGATGATTTTTATGCTTTTTCTGTGTGTCACGGGAAATATTCTACAAGATGTAACTTGGAAACAGACATGTTGGGATTTCCGAGATATTTTTATGATTTATGGGTACAATAGCTCAGGAGATTGAAAGTTAAAGCCAACGGTGCATTCCAAAGCAATGTCCTGAAAGCAGTGGGAAATGCACCAGTGACAGCAAATAGATATAAAAATCTATTTTTAAATGAACTTCTGGATATTACTGTTTTAATATAAAGAAAAAGAAAATGGCTAGGAGAAAGAGGAATAAGATCTTAAAGCAGAAAATAATGATTTTTAAAATATATAGCTGAAAAGTTAATCTGAGTTTGACAGTTATTGTGCTATTCTTACAACTTCTCTAAAAGTTTGAAATTATTTCATAATAAAAAGGTACAAAAACGTATGGCCTCATATGGAATAAATGACATTAAACTTGCAGTGCAACTTATTTAAAGGGTGGAGGAGGAATTGCCAGCCACCTGATTCTGCAGCTTTGTTTTTAAAAGGGAATATAGATCTTTCCAGGGGCCACAGCAGAGGGAGCTCAGGCCACCAGGGCAAGACCCAAGCTCCTTGGGGCTCACAAGCTGCTCTCCAAGGTACTCCCTTCCTCTGGCAGAGGAACAGCATTTCCCAGTGCCCGGCCATGTGATTAATAATCACAGCCAGGCCAGGTGTGGTGGCTCACGCCTGTAATCCTAGCACTTTGGGAGGCTGAGGCGGGCGGATAACGAGGTCAGGAGTTTGAGACCACCCTGGCCAACATAGTGAAACTCCGTCTCTACTAAAAATACAAAAATTAGCCAGGTGCGGTGGTGGGCACCTGTTATCCCAGCTGCTCCAGAGGCTGAGGCAGGAGAATTGCTTGAACCCAGGAGGCAGAGGTTGCAGTGAGCCAGGATCATGCCACTGCACTCCAGCCTAGGTGACAGAGCAAGACTCTGTCTCAAAAAAAAAAAAAAAAAAAAAAAAAAGAAAAAAAATCACAGACATTTCTCAGATTTTCTTTTCTGAGAATCAGATCAAAAGAATCTCACATAAAACAAGGTTATTACTAAACTAAGTCCTTAGTGGTCCAAAAGCCATTGCATTAAGGGAAAATTTAAGGCTTTTTGTTGCTGTTTGTGTCTGTTTATACAGATTCACTCCATGGATTTTGATGACACGTGGCACCCTGCCACCCACCCTTCTGGGGCTGTCCTTCCTGTCCTCACAGCTTTAGCAGAAGCCCTGCCAAGGAGTCCAAAGTTTTCTGGCCTTGACCTGCTGCTGGCTTTCAATGTTGGTATTGAAGTGCAAGGCCGATTACTGCATTTCGCCAAGGAGGCCAATGACATGCCAAAGAGGTATGGAGAGAATTTGCCCCATCAAAAGGTAGTCACATCCCCTTCATCTATCAATCATTATCTCCGTAGAGCTTTCTGACTTAGAGGCCGGTTCAGAGGAAGATGTTAACATTAGCACAGGTAGATAAGTCAATACACCAGTCACATACGAAACCCTCTATCCACATTTAAAGAAGTGACTTCAAGAGTGCAACCTGGACCGTGAGATTAATTGGGCCTCTCGTTGCAAGGTGATTCATGTCATTCTGGCATTCATGGGTGTACTGAGTATTCCTTATTTCATTCTCAAAGCAGAATCTATTCTGAGACTAGCTAGCGTCCCTCAGACTAATGAGGACATTCAGAATATCCTTACTCTGACTGTTCATCCTGCAGATAAAAAATGGTCAAATGTCGGCCACATCATATGGCTCAGTCTCAGATTTATGTTGCCACTTGCTCCAGCCTGCCAGGAGAGAAGTAAATTGAAATACTAGGTAGTGAAGTTTCAGTTTCTTCAAGGCCCACAATTCTCACAGTGACTTAGATGAGATCTCAGCAATCAATAGCTGTTGCCTTTCTGGCAATAATTGTAATGGTACCATTTATAAAGAACTCACTATGTGCTAGCACTATTGTAAACATGTTAATTTATTCAAAGCTCCTAAAACTCTAAGAGGTAGATGTTATTATTATCACCATTTTATTTTATTTTTTGAGATGGAGTCTCGCTCTGTTGCCAGGCTGGAGTGCAGTGGTGTAATCTTGGCTCATTGCAACCTCCGCCTCCTGGGTTCAAGTGATTCTCCTGCCTCAGCCTCCCAAGTAGCTGGGACTACAGGCATGCACCACCATGCCCAGCTAATTTTTGTATTTTTAGTAGAGACGGGGTTTCGTCATGTTGGCCAGGATGGTCTCGAGCTCTTGACCTTGTGATCTGCCTGCCTCAGCCTCCCAAAGTGCTGGGATTACAGGCGTGAGCCATCGTGCCCGGCCTTATTATTATTATTTTTATTATTATATTTTTTTGAGACAGTCTCACTCTGTCACCTAGGCTGGAGTGCAGCAGCATGATCTCAGCTCACTGCAGCGTCTGCCTCCCAGGTTCAAGGGATTCTCCTGCCTCAGTCTCCCAAGTAGCTGGGACTGCAGGCACCCACCACCACATCCGGCAAATTTTTGTATTTTTAGTAGAGTCAGTGTTTTGCCATGTTGGCCAACCTAGTCTCAAACTCCTGACCTCAGATGACCCTCCCACCTTGGCCTCCCAAAGTCCTGGGATTACAGGCATGAACCACCACACCTCGCCTATCACCATTTTGTGTAAGAAAAACTCTACAGAGAAGTTGAATAATTTTCCCCAGATCATATAGCTAATAAAGTAATGGAGCTGAGATCTGAACCCAGACAGTGTGACTCCATTATCAATGTTCTTGATGACTACGCTATCCTGCCTCCTGGTGGTTACGGTTTGTACATCTCCAACTCTGCTTCTTTGCTTTTCAGATTCCATCCCCCTTCCGTGGTAGGAACGTTGGGTAGTGCTGCTGCTGCATCCAAGTTTTTAGGACTTAGCTCGACAAAGTGCCGAGAAGCTCTGGCCATTGCTGTTTCCCATGCTGGGGCACCCATGGCCAATGCTGCCACCCAGACCAAGCCCCTCCACATTGGCAATGCTGCCAAGCATGGGATAGAAGCTGCATTTTTGGCAATGTTGGGTCTCCAAGGAAACAAGCAGGTCTTGGACTTGGAGGCAGGATTTGGGGCCTTTTATGCCAACTATTCCCCAAAAGTCCTTCCAAGCATAGCTTCCTACAGTTGGCTGCTGGACCAGCAGGACGTGGCCTTTAAGCGTTTTCCTGCACATTTATCTACCCACTGGGTGGCAGACGCAGCTGCATCTGTGAGAAAGCACCTTGTAGCAGAGAGAGCCCTGCTTCCAACTGACTACATTAAGAGAATTGTGCTCAGGATACCAAATGTCCAGTATGTAAACAGGCCCTTTCCAGTTTCGGAGCATGAAGCCCGTCATTCATTCCAGTATGTGGCCTGTGCCATGCTGCTTGATGGTGGCATCACTGTCCCCTCATTCCATGAATGCCAGATCAACAGGCCACAGGTGAGAGAGCTGCTCAGTAAGGTGGAGCTGGAGTACCCTCCGGACAACTTGCCAAGCTTCAACATACTGTACTGTGAAATAAGTGTCACCCTCAAGGATGGAGCCACCTTCACAGATCGCTCTGATACCTTCTATGGGCACTGGAGAAAACCACTGAGCCAGGAGGACCTAGAGGAAAAGTTCAGAGCCAATGCCTCCAAGATGCTGTCCTGGGACACAGTGGAAAGCCTTATAAAGATAGTCAAAAATCTAGAAGACCTAGAAGACTGTTCTGTGTTAACTACACTTCTCAAAGGACCCTCTCCACCAGAGGTAGCTTCAAACTCTCCAGCATGTAATAATTCTATCACAAATCTCTCCTGAGGCTTACCAACATCTAAATGACTTTGCATTTGGGGAGATTCAATGATTTGGTTTGTAAAGCAAGGGTCTGCTGCTTGGTTTTCCCAGGAAAAATGAACAAAGATGGAGAGAGTCCAGAAACAGAACTACATATATCTGGAAGGAGCCTTCTCCTGAAAATTTTGCAGGACAGTTCCACTTACCTAAATCAAGATGAAACACACACACAAAAATGAGTTTGTAAGCATTCACAAGGGTGAAATTCAACTCACCTGTGATTTACTTATAAAATTAATCTCTTCATAGGAATTATGTGTGGACTTCATGAGCCTCAAGGTTTTAGAGGGATGTGAACCTGCATGTATATTTTCTGACAGTGGAGAGGGCTCTGGTGCATTGTGTCACCAACAGATCTCCTAGACCATGGCTTATTACCAAGCCCTCCACAGTGCAAGGGGTGCTACTGGGGAATGGGTGGGTTTAAATCCTGCCTCTGCCATTCACTAGATGTAGCCTTGAGCATGTTACCATTAGCCCTCTGCCTCAGTTTCCCTATTTGTCAAGCCGAAGTAAAAAGCAGTCTGGAAAAATCGCATTTTGGCTCTAGAACCCATGGTCTTAAGCACTGCAATATATCACCTTTCAGTATAAAAATATTTGAATCAGAGTTGCAATAAAGAATGAAAAGGAAAAAAGAGAAGTAAATACGTGAGTAATTATATAAATACTAAACTGTATTAAAATAATAGAAGTGTCATGGGGGTTAAAAATGCAACACTAACAATCATAGTTAATGTGTTACAAATCCCTGGTATTGTTCAATAAAAGGGCAACCTATTAACTCTAGATGTTGATTAATAAGTATGCTGTATTAGTCCGTTCTCATGCTGCTATAATGAACTGCCCAAGACTGGGTAATTTACAAAGGAAAGAGGTTTAATTGACTCACAGTTCCACATGACAGAGGAGGCCTCAAGAAACTTAGAATCATGCCAGAAGGAGAAGCAAACACGTCCTTCTTCATATGAAGGAGAAGTGCTTCCTTCATAGGAAGGAGAAGTGCTGAGCAGAAGGCAGGAAAGCTCCCTATAAACCGTCAGATTTCAGGAGAACTTACTATCATAAGAATAGAAGCATGAAAGTAACTGGCACCATGGTTCAATTACCTCCCACCAGGTCCCTCCCACAACACATGGGGATTATGGAAACTATAATTCAAGATGACATTTGGGTGGGGACACGGTCATACCAAATCATTCTGCCTCTGGCCCCTCCCAAACATCATGTCTTCACATTTCAAAGCACAATCATGCCTTCCCTACAGTCCCTGAAAGTCTTAACTCATTCCAGCATCAAGGCAAAAGTCTAACTCCAAAGTCTCATCTGAGACAAGGCAAGTCCCTTCTGCCTATGGACCTGTAAAATCAAAAGCAAGTTAGTTACTTCCTAGATACAATGGGGGTAAAAGCACTGGGTAAATACATCCATTCCAAATGGGAGAAATTGGCCAAAACAAAGGGGCTACAGCCCCCATGCAAATCCAAAACCCAGCGGGGCAGTCAAATCTTAAAGCTCCAAAATGACATCCTTTGACTCCATGTCTCACATCCAGGTCATTCTGATACAAGAGGTGGGACTCCCATGGCCTTGGGCAGCTGTGTCCCTGTGGTTTTGCAGGGTACAGCCCCCTCCTCCCAGCTTCCTTCACAGGCTGGCATTGAGTGTCCACAGCTTTTCCAGGCACATATTGCAAGCCGTCGGTGGATCTACCATTCTGGAGTCTGGAGGACAGTGGCCCTCTTCTCACAGCTCCACTAGGCAGTGCCCCAGTGGGGACTTTCTGTGGGGGCTGCAGTCCCACATTTCCCTTCTGCACTGCCCAAGCAGAGGTTCTACATGAGGGCTCCACCCCTGCTGCAAACTTCTGCCTGGACATCCAGGCATTTCCATACATCCTCTGAAATCTAGAAGGAGGTTCTCAAACCTCAATTCTTGACTTCTGTGCACCCACAGGCTCAAAACCACATGGAAGCTGCCAAGACTTGGGGCTTACACCCCTTGAAGCCATGGCCTGAGCTGTACCTTGGCCCATTTTAGCCTCATCTGGGATGCAGGGAACCAAGTAAGCCCTGAGACTGTAGAAAGCAGCAAGGCCCTGGGCCCAGCCAATGAAACTATTTTTCTCTCCTAGGCCTCTGGGCCTGTGTTGGGAGGCACTGCTGTGAAGAGTTCTCACATGTCCTGCAGACATTTTCCCCATTGTCTTGGTGATCAACATTTGGCTCCGTGTTACTTATGTGAATTTCTACTGATGGCTTGAATTTCTTCTCAGAAAATGGGTTTTTCTCTTCCATCACATCATCAAGATGCAAATTTTCTGAACTTTCATGCTCTGCTTCTCTTTTAAACACAAGTTTCAATTCCAAACCATATCTTTGTGAATACATAAAATAGGATGCTTTTAACAGCACCTAAGTCACCTCTTGAATGCTTTGCTGCTTAGAAATTTCTCCCACCAGATACCCTAAATCTTCCCTCAAGTTCAAAGTTCCACAGATCTCTATGGCAGGGGCAAAACGCCACCAGTCTCTTTGCTAAAACGTAGCAACAGTCACCTTTATTCTAGTTCCCAACAAGTTCCTCATCTCCATCTGAGACCTGGATTCCATTGTCCATATCACTATCATCATTTTGGTCAATGCCATTCAACATGTCTCTGGGAAGTTCCAAACTTTCCCATATCTTTCTGTCTTCTGAGCCCTTCAGACTTTTCCAACCTCTGCCTGTTACCCAGTTCCAAAGTCTCTTCCACATGTTGGGGTATCTTTATAGCAGTACCCCACTCCTAGTACCAATTTACTGTATTAGTCCATTCTCACACTGCTATAAAGAACTGCCCGAGACTGGGTAATTTATAAAGGAAGGGGTTTAACTGACTCACAGTTCCGCTTGACTGGGGAGGTCTCAAGAACTTACAATCACGGCAGAAGGAGAAGCAAACATGTCCTTCTTCACATGATAGCAGGAAGAAGAAAAGCCAAGCAGAAGGGAGAAAAGCCCCTTATAAAATCATCAGATCTCAGGAGAATGCACTCACTAACATAAGAACAGCAGCATGAAAGTAAATTGCATCATAATTCAATTATCTCCCACAGGGTCCCTCCCACAACACATGGGGATTATGGGAACTGCAGTTCAAGATGAGATGTGGGTGGGGAACACAGCCAAACCATATTATATGTCCACTGAAATTTCTAGGATAACCATTCGAGAACAGCAGTAGAATGTACCACTTCCAGGTTAATAGAAGGAGAAAAATTGAATTAGAAAAATATAATCTGGCCAGGCATGGTGGTTCATGCCTGTAATCCCAACACTCTGGGAGGCCAAGGTAGGAGTACTGCTTGAGCCCAGGAGTTTGATGAGACAGTCTGGACAACATAGTGATATTTCATCTCTACAAAAAAAATCAAAAAAATTAGCCAAACATGGTGACACACACTTGTAGTCCCTGCTACTCAGGAGGTTGAAGTTGGAGGATTGCTTGAGCCCCAGAGGCATAGGCTACAGTGAGCCATGATCATGCTGCTGTACTCCAGCGTAGGCAACAGAGCAAGACCCTCAAAAAAAAATCCAAAGGAAGGCAAAAAATGAGGGGGAAAGAAATATAAAAAAGGACATATAAAAAGCACAAAATAAAATGGTAGGAAAAATTCAAATATATCTATAATTACAAAAAGAGTAAATGGACTAAATGTTCCAGTTTAAAAAGACCAAGATTTCCTGAACATATTTTTTAAATGTTTAACAACTTTATTGATGTTTAATTTACATATTAATTCATCCATTTTAAGTGTACGGTTCAGTAAGTTTTAGTAAATTTATAGAGTTGTGCATGCATCACCACAATTCAGTTTTGGAATACTTCCTTTTACTCCAAGAAATTTTCTCATATTATCTGGGATCAATCCCCATTCCCACCTCCAGCCCATAGTAACCAGTGATGTATCTCTATAATTCTGTTGTTTCTAGACATTTCGGACAAATCAAATAATATAATAAGCAGTCATATGTGTTTGCCTTCTTTCACTGGCATAATGGTTTTGAGATTCTTCCACATATGTGTCAGCACTTTTTTGCTTTTCATTGCTGGACAGCTTTCCATTGTAGGGATATGCCAATGTTTGTTTACCCATTCACTAATTAATAGACAGTTGGGTTGCCTCCAGTTTGGGCTATTATGAATAGTGTTTCTATGAGCATTTACGTACAGGTCTTTGTGTGAACATATGTTTCCATTTCTTTTTGATAGATACCTAGGAGTGACTCTGGGTCACTGGGTAAATATATTTTTAACTTTATAAAAAACGATTTTCCAAAGTAGCTCTATCATGTTACGTTTTCTCCAACAATATATGAGGGTTCCAGTTTCTCCTCATACTTACCAAACCTTAGAATTGTCAGTCATTTTTATTTCAGCCATTCTAGTGAGTGTGTAATGTTATCTCATTGTGGTTTTAATTTGCATTTCCCTAATGACTCATTCTCCTCCATTTTTCCAGTTCTTTTTATTGTGTGGTCTTCTTATGGTATGGACGTATACCTGGAATATATAAGAGCTCTTTATATATTCTGGGTATAAATCCTTTATCAGATACATGTTTTGTAAAAATTTTCTCCCACTCTGTGGTTTGTCTTTTCATTTTTTAAAAAAAATTTATCATTCTGGCTTTGGATGTCATCAGAAGACTTTCTAAAATCCAATTATATACTTTATGCAAGACAAATAAAAAATGCAGAAGGGTTGACGGTATAAAAGATGGGGGATATACGGATGGAATATTAACAAAAGAAAACTGGACAAATAAATGTTAGTATTGGACCAAGCATTACTATAAATAGTGTCACTATGTAACGATAAAAAATTCAAATCACCAGCTAACTGAAATAATCCTAACCCTACATGCACCTAAATCATATTGAACTGCAAGAAGAAATCCATCTACCACCATACTGAGAGATTTTTAACATTCCTCTCCTATTAATTGATATTCAAGGAAACCAAAAATAAATGGGCTACATAATATTTAAACACAATCAACATGTTTATACAACAGGAATTCTGTACCCAACAACTAGAGATTTCACAATCTTTTAGAAATCTCATAGAACATTTACAAAAGTGGACTAACACTGAGCCATAATGCCAGTCTCAACAACTTTTCAAAGTACTGGATCATACAGTTATTTTCTCTAATCACAATGCAATTAAGTTAAAGATCAATATTTTAAAAAAGATAATTAGAAAAGCTGCCAGCCGCAGTGGCACACATGTTCGTGCAGTCCTGGCTACTCAGGAGGCTGAGGCAGGAGGATCACTTGACCCCAGGAGATTGTGGCTACAATGAGATATGATGGCACCATTGCACTCCATCCTGGGCAACAAAGTAAGACCCTGTCTGGCCATCAGAGAAATGCAAATCAAAACCACAATGAGATACCATCTCACACCAGTTAGAATGGCAATCATTAAAAAGTCAGGAAACAACAGGTGCTGGAGAGGATGTGGAGAAATAGGAACACTTTTACACTGTTGGTGGGACTGTAAACTAGTTCAACCCTTGTGGAAGTCAGTGTGGCGATTCCTCAGGGATCTAGAACTGGAAATAGCATTTGACTCAGCCATCCCATTACTGGGTATATACCCAAAGGACTATAAATCATGCTGCTATAAAGACACATGCACACGTATGTTTATTGCAGCATTATTCACAATAGCAAAGACTTGGAACCAACCCAAATGTCCAACAATGATAGACTGGATTAAGAAAATGTGGCACATATACACCATGGAATACTATGCAGCCATAAAAAATGATGAGTTCATGTCCTTTGTAGGGACATGGATGAAATTGGAAATCATCATTCTCAGTAAACTATCGCAAGAACAAAAAACCAAACACCGCATATTCTCACTCATAGGTGGGAATTGAACAATGAGATCACATGGACACAGGAAGGGGAATATCACACTCTGGGGACTGTTGTGGGGTAGGGGGAGGGAGGAGGGATAGCATCAGGAGATATACCTAATGCTAGATGACGAGTTAGTGGGTGCAGCACACCAGCATGCACATGTATACATATGTAACTAACCTGCACAATGTGCACATGTACCCTAAAACTTAAAGTATAATAAAAAAAAAGAAAAATAAATAAATAAAATAAAATAATAAAATAAAATGTAATCCAAAAAATAAAAAAGCCTGAAGTATTTGTAAATGAAGACACACAAATTTTTTTTATTTTATATTTTGCATCACAAAATAAATAATGAAAATTATAAAATATTTGGGACTAACCAATGACAAAAATACTACAAATCAGAACTGGTAAGATGTAACTGAAGCAGTACTTTGAAATTACATGTAGAATCGCTGGCTCTCTATTATTACTTGGATTATGCTGTTCCACAGGACACATCACAAATCCCTGATGAATTTGTCTGAACACAGCTGATCAAAGAAAAGGTAAAAGAGGTTTCTTTAATTGTAGCCCTGAGGTAAATTTAATTGTACTTTCTTGATGCATTGCAGACGTTTCTAGGGGCAACATCTAAGGACTATTAATAATATCCTCAGATAAGACCTGACAGATGCCTCAGACCACCAGCAGGGGTTGGGGAAGCCACTCTCTCCTGAGGGGGACAAGAGTACTCAGGGTGACCTTGATGTTGGTCATTATGCCCACTGAGTAAACTGAAGGCAGGAGAATACATCAGGGAAATGTTGGCCTATAGAGAGAGCTGAAGGCTCCTCTTCACTGGCAGGCCACACATATAAATGGGAGAGACAGAGAGGAAGAGAGGGGAGAGAGATCCACTCTCCACATCCTTTCCAGGTGATGATTTCTTTCTTTTTTTCTTTTCTGTTTTTTTTTTTTTTTTTTTTTGAGATGGAGTCTCACTCTGTTGCCCAGGCTGGAGTGCAAAGGCACAATCTCATCTCACTGCAACGTCTGCCTCCTGGGTTCAAGTGATTCTCCTGCCTCAGCCTCCCGAGTAGCTGTGATTACAGGCATGTGCCACCATGCCTGGCTAATTTTCTGTATTTTTTTAGTAGAGATGGGGTTTCGCCATGTTGGCCAGGCTGGTCTCGAACTCCTGACCTCAGGTGATCCACCCACCTTGGCCTCCCAAAGTGCTGGGATTACAAGCAAGAGCCACCGTGCCCGGCTTTTTTTTTTTCCCCAGACAGGGTTTTGCCCTGTTGCCCAGGCTAGAGTGCAGTGGCATGATCATGGCTCACTACAGCCTCAGCTTCCCAGGCTCAAACAATCCTCCTACCTCAGCCTCCTGAGTAGCTGGGACTACAGGTATGCACCATCATGCCCAGCCAATTTTTTTAATTTGTTTTTTGCAGAGACAGGGCCTCACTATATTTCCTGGGCTGGTCTTCAACTTACAAAGGGCGAGTGGAGACCTTGCATTGGAATGCTGGAGTTAGACCTGAGCCCTCTTGTCTCTTCCTTCCATGAGGCTGGAGAACAAGCACTGTTTCTGAGCTGCCCTGCCCTGAGAAAGCCTGAGATGGGGCTAGAATTTTGATTTAAAGTCTAGGAATTGATCTGACGTCTAGGAATTGTGGCAAATGCTTGCGTTTTCCCTCTCATTCCCTTAGGGAGAACAACCAAAGATGCTGCTCAGTCCATTTTTATTGTTATAGGGCTTAGGTACAAGCAAATTAGCCCTCCACATGGATCAGGCCAGATCACCAGGGAGAAACCCACCCTGAGCCTGGGACAAAGGCTTCAGGCTCACAGAGAAAGTTTCCATTTCAGCTCCCTCCCTGTACTTCTGCATCCTTGGCACACATCCATGGCCCCGAGTCAAACTGCCTCAGTCAGCAGAAACATTTTTGCCATCTTTAAAGAGCCCTAGTGCTGGCTATTGCATATGTTTCAGGGATGCCTGAGGCCATGCACACATTTGGTGATTCATGAGAAGGACCCAGCATTTAGTAGCCCCGTGGCTAGGGTTTACTACAGTGCAAGGATACATGACACGATAAGCAACAGAAAAACACACATGCAAAGTCTGGAAAAATCCAAGCACAGGCTTTTAATGCTCTCTCCCTCCCCTGAGGAGACTCATGAAGCAGGCTCCTTTTGTCAGCAGCGAAAAATTCAGTAATGTGTGTGCAATGTTTCTGCCCTAGAAAGAGACTCAGCATTCAAAGATTTTACATGGTTGGTTATGTAGGCACCCTCTCCCTAGAAATAATCAGAATTCCAAACTCAAAGAAGAAAAGCGGGTATTCAGCATAAACCAAGTTGCTTGCGCAGTCTAGATACAATGAATCATTCTTATCAGCTAGAGAGTGGGTTAAAGTGCTATGTTCCTAGACACCAGCCAAGGGCCAGCCTGGTAAGCAAGTGTTTCCTAAAGCAGCAGCCTCAGGTCTGCTATGTTATTTCTTTTCTGCGTGGCTTTTAAACCTGAAACCCCTTCCTTTCCTGTTTGTGCAGCTTTGCAGGGTAGGAAAATGTTATATAAAAGTTGGACCTCACCTCCACTTTAGGCATTGCCACTGCTCTGTTGCACTTGAGCCCTGTAAGCTGTGTGTTCTATCACAGTATTAACTAAAGCTGATATCCCCAGTAGGCTTAAAACTGTAGGATTTCTGCACAGAGATCCGCTGTTGGTCTGATGGGCTTCCCTTTGTAGGTGACCTGTCCTTTCTCTCTGGCTGCCCTTAACATTTTTTCCTTCATTTTGACCTTGGAGAATCTGATGATTATGTGTCTTGGGGTTGATCTACTCGTGGAGTGTCTTAGTGGTGTTTTCTGTATTTCCTGAATTTGCATGTTGGCCTGTCTTGCTAGGTTGGGGAAGTTCTCCTGGATAATATCCTGAAGTGTGTTTTCCAAGTTGGTTCCGTTCTCCCCATCTTCTTCGGGTACTCCAGTCAATCATAGGTTGAGTCTTTTTACATAGTCCCATATTTCTCGGAGGTTTTGTTTGTTCCTTTTCATTCTTTTTTCTCTAATCTTGTCTGTGTGCCTTATTTCAGCAAGATGGTCTTCCAACTCTGATACCCTTTCTTCTGCTTGGTCGCTTCGGCTATTGATACTTGTGTATGTGTTACAAAGTTCTCATGCTGTGTTTCTCAGCTCCATCAGGTCATTTATGTTCCTCTCTAAACTGGTTATTCTAGTTAACAGCTCCTGCAACCTTTTATCAAAGTTCTTATCTTCTTTGCATTGGGTTAGAACACGCCCCTTTAGCTCAGCAGAGTTTGTTATTACCCATCTTCTGAAGCCTACTTCTGTCACTTCATCCATCTCATCCTCTGTTCAGTTCTGTGCCCCTGCTGGAGAGGTGTTGCGATCATTTGGAGAAGAGCCATTCTGGCCTTTCAGGTTTTCAGTGTTTTTTCGTTGATTCTTTCTCGTCTTCATGAGTTTCAATCTTTGAGGCTGCTGACCCTTGAATGAGGTTTTTGTGGAGACTTTTTTGTTCATGCTGTTGTTGTTGCTTTCTGTTTGTTTTTCTTTCAATGGTCAGGTCCCTCTTCTGTAGGGCTGCCGCAGTTTGCTGGGGCTTCACTTCAGGCCCTATTCATCTAATTTGCTCCCACTCCTGAAGATGTCACTCAAGGAGGCTGGAGAACAGCAAGATGGGTGACTCCTCCTTCCTCTGGGATCTCTAACCTCAAGGAGCACTGACCTGATGCCAGTAGGAATGCTCCTGTATAGGGTATCTGGCAACCCCTGTTGGAAGGTCTCAGGTCTCACCCAGTTGGGTGGCACAGAGAACAGGACCCGTTTAATATAGCACTTTGAATATCCCTTGGTGGAGGGGGTGTGCTTTGCTGGGGGGAAATGCACTCGTCTGGGCTGTCTGGGTTCCTCAGAACTAGCAGGAGGAAAGACTAAGTCAGCTAGTCCGTGGAGACTATGGCTACCCCTTCCCCTAGGGGCTCAGACCCAGGGAGATCAGGGTTCAGTCCCTGAGCCCCTGGCTGGAGTTGTTGGAGTTCCTGCAGGGAGGCCCCACCCAGTGAGGAGGGATGGATCAGGGTCAGGCCTGAAGAGGCACTATGGCTGCATCTGCCACAGCCAGTGTATTGGGCTGTGGGGAATACCTCTTGGGACCAACCCGTCCAACCTCCCTGGCTTCAGCGGGGAGAAAAGCATGGCCTGGAGCTATAGTGATGGCTGCCACCCTTCCCCCACCCTGGGAGCTTAGTGTGTTAGGCAGCTAGCAGTCCCAGTGTTGGCTGCTGCCCCTCTCCCAAGGAGCTCAAATGGCTTAGACAGCAGGCAGTGACAGCTGTGGTGCTCGCCACTCCTCAGCTGGGAACTTGGCAGGCTTAAGCAGATTCTAGCTGAGTGGCTGTTGAGAATCTCCATGGCTCCGTGGCTGAGACCCTAGGTCCCAGTGGAGTGGGCTCACGAGTGGGATCTTCCCATCCGTGGGTTGCACAGTTCCATGGAAAAAGCACGATTTCCCAGGCTAGGTAGCACGCTCACTCATCACCTCCCTTGGCTGGGGTGTGGGGGCTCCCCTGACCCACGTGGCTCTCGGGTGGGCCACCACACCACACTGCTCTTCCTTGCTCTCCATGGATCATGCCAGCCTCCTAGTCAGTTCTGATAACAGAATCTGGACACCTCAGTTGCTGGCGCAGGATTCACACACTGTTATGGTTTTTGCTGGGAGCCTCCGATCTCTGTTGCATAGTTTCACATGGCTGGGGAGGCCTCACAATCATGGCAGAAGATGAAGACCAAAGAGATGTTTTACATGGCAGCAGGCAAAAAAGCTCTCATTCTCTTTATGGCTGCACAGTATTCCATAGTGTATATGTACCACATTTTCTTTATCTAGTCTATCATTGATGGGCATTTAGGTTGATTCCATGTCTTTGCATTGTGAGTAGTATTGCAATGAACGTACATATGCATATGTCTTTATAATAGAATGATTTATATTCCTTTGGGTATATACCCAGTAATGAGATTGCTGAGTCAAATGGTATATTTGTCTTTAGGTCTTTGAGGAATCACCACACTGTCTTCCACAATGTTTGAACTAATTCACACCAACAGTGTATAAGCGTTCCTTTTTCTCCACAACCTCGCTGGCATCTGTTATTTATTGACTTTTTAGTAATAGCCATTCTGACTGGTGTGAGATGGTATCTCATTGTGGTTTTGATTTGCATTTCTCTAATGAAGATCTGTGATTATTTTAAGCCAGCTGCTTATAATGAGAACATGTGAGTTTTAAAGGAATGTTTATAAATTATATTTTATAACAACTTCGCTTGGAAGGTTTTATCTAAAAAACATCACACTCAGAGAACTCCCGTGTGATAGGCCCCAGGGACCACCGTTAAGTACTGTGATAGCTTGTGTAAAGGAAACTCTTTGGGGGATACTGGGTAAATAATGGGCTTTCATTCAATTTAACACGTGTGTATTGAGGGCTTACTATCTGCCAGGGGATATTCTCAGTGCAGGTAATAGAGCAATGGACAAAATAGGCAAAACCTCCTGTTCTCATGAGCTTACGATCTATTATGGGTAGAGAGACAACAAGCAAAATAATTGAATAAGATGAGGAAAGTGCTCTGTGCCTGTTCTGGGCAGCCTCTGCTTGCTTTGTTCCTCCCCTGGTAGGAATGTAAGCTTCTGGTGCTGAGTTAGGTTCAGGGACTAGAAGAGTCCAAAGAATGTGAGCCTCCCTTTAATGGAATTAAAAGCTTCCAGTTCTTTCTGGGCCATGATATAACCTATGACTGCAAAAGACCAGTGGTACCATACAAAGGTAGCTTCCTTGTCGATTCTAGCAAGACTTCCCTGCACAGAGCAAAGCTATAGGGAATCAAGGTAGGGGGCAAAGGGGCAAAGTCATGACAAAATGTGCTGCTTTTCATTCCAGCAGAGTTGTGCAAGTATGTACATGTGTGTGCAATCTCTTCTCCCAACAAAAGATCTACCTGCAATACTTCGCTTATTTAAAAAAATTATTCATTAGTAAAATTACTCATCCTCTGTTCTCTGACCATAAAAAAAAATAGCACCGTAATAGTTCACAGAAAGTAATAATTCAAGACATTCAAAGCAGGTGAGTATGTCATAGGCAACTACTCAGGCTCTTGCTTAAACCCTGGGTGCCCAGTAGTTTGCAGCTGTGTGGCACATCAAAAGAATTTATGATACATGGTAACTTTCTTAAAGCTTCATGGCTCAGCTGGGAATGGTGACTCATGCCTGTAATCCCAGCACTTTGGGAGGCCGTGGCAGGAGGACTGCTTGAGCCCAGGTGTTCAAAAACAGCTTAGGCAATATAGGGAGAAGCTGTTTCTACAAAAAAGTAAAAAATTAGCCAAGCATGGTGGCGTACACCTGTAACCCTAGCTTACTTGGGAGGCTGAGGTGGGAGGATCATTAGAGACTGGGAGGCAGAGGTTGCAGTGAGCTGAGATCTCACCACTGCATTCCAGCCTGGGCAACACAGCAAGACCCTGTCTCAAAAAAAGGAGGTGGGGGGGGGTCATAGTTTTATTGGAATCATAAAGAACAGAACAGGCCAGGCACGGTGGCTCACGTCTGTAATCCCAGCACTTTGGGAGGCAGAGGCGGGTGGCTCATCTGAGGTCGGGAGTTTGAGACCAGCCTGACCAACATAGAGAAACCCTGTCTCTACTAAAAATCCAAAATTAGCTGGGCTTGGTGGCACATGCCCATAATCCCAGCTACTTGGGAGACTGAGGCAGGAGAATCAGTTGGAACCGGGAGGTGGAGGTTGCGGTGAGCCGAGATCACACCATTGCACTCCAGCCTGGGCAACAAGAGCAAAACTCCGTCTCAAAAACATAAAAAATAAAAAGAACAAAATAAACACCTTCCAAGAAATAACTAAAATTAGTTTAGTCTTCCAGCGCAGTTGTAAATGCAGAATTCAACATTCCGATATTACCATCTCATTTAAAAAGTTATCCTTTTTGTGCAGTTATTACAAACAAGTCAACCAACCCCAGTTACAGCTGGCACCTATGAAGGAGCCAACCTGGAGGTTCAATAAAAACTTTAAAACAGCCCAATGCCCATCTTTCAGAAGCATGGCATGATAGTGTTGCTTCTGACTCTAAAAAATAAAAAATGTACTTTTTTAGAAACCATGTATGTCAGTATAATTGCTACTTACTTATGAGTCAAGATCACAATTAAAGTACCTACCATCAAGTGAAAGAGTATGTAATTCATCTGGTAGGAGCTAAACTATTTTTACCTGAACAATTTCTTCTAAATATTATACGTCAAGCACTATATCTCAAGCCTGCTGTAAAACATGTCCTACCATTTTTACTAATCCACCAGAAATATCATGCAAAGAGCCAGGTGCAGTGGTGTGTGGCTATAGCCCCAGCTACTCGCGAGGCTGAGGCAGGAAGCTGGCTTAAACCCAAAAGTTCAAGACTGTAGTGCACAATGATCACATCAGTGAATAGCCACTGTACTCCAGCCTGGGCAACATAGTGAGACTTTATGCCTAAAAAAAAAACCATGCAGAAGGGCCATGCCATGAATGCACATGTCAGTGCCATTTTGTTGGTAACATCCCCATAGGATTTACTCACATCCATGTTTACAGCTAGGGCCCTGTACAGCAGTGTCTCTGTCATCACCAGAAAACATATCATGAAGAGAAGTTATAACTGAGTGGGGAAAAAAATGTTCCTTAGGCACCTGGCAACATGACCGTGAAAAAGGTTAAAATTACTGGCTTACACTGGCCTCTCAAACACTGCCAAGTTCAGAAAAAAAGCTCACAGATATTATGCACCCAAGAAATCGGTCCCAACATGAGGCTTCACTTAAATACCCAGTTAGTAAGATAAATGAAGGGTAAATGTACTAGGATCAATATGAAATAATTAAAGCAAGCGCCACTTGATTCTTACAGCTGAATGATATGATAACAGAATTGCCACGTTGAATTTTTTTCTTTCAGAGTAAGCCAATGTATTAATAGTTTGAAAGAATATATTTTCCATATGATTCAAGCCATCTAGTCTTATCACCTTAAACCACAGCCCCTTATCACCTCCACCTCCACCCTAATGCCAATCACCAAATGCTGCAGCCCCGTAATGAATGATAATTTGTCTAGCACCCTGGGAGGCCGAGGCCGGGGGATCACTTGAGCCCAGGAGTTCAAGACCAGCCTGGGCAACATGGCAAAACCCCATCTCTACAAAAAATACAAAATTAGCCAGGTGTGTTGGTGCATACCTGTGGTCCTAGCTACTCGAGAGGCCAAGGTGGGAGGGTCGCTTGATCCCAGGAGGTCGAGGTTGCAGTGAGTCATGATCACGCCACTGCAGTGCACTGCACTGCCAGCCTGGGTGACAGAGCAAGACTCTGTTACAAAAAAAAAAGATAATTTGTCAAGCTATTAGAAAAGTGGTCACGTCTATATTTATCTGCAGGAAGGAAAATAGGAAAGCGCCGTAGGACCTGCTTACTCGGCAGGCAGCTTTCTATCCTTTTCTTTCCCTCTGTCCACATTATTATCCTGACCCGCTGTGACTTCACCAGCAGGAAGGTTTCGGCTGCCAAGCCAGGGGAAATGCAGCAGCAGTAGCGATGGGCTTCCTCCCACAGGGGAAGGCTTGAAGTGTCCTTCACAGAACTGCCGACAGAGCAGTCTTTCCCATCCAGGGCAGCTCTGAGCTACTCCAAAGCCACCAGCAAAGACGACGACCCAGGATTATTTAAGGCAGCTGACAAGAAGAATGGATGAACAAATCTTGGGCAAAGAATGAGGGTATAGAAGAGCAACACATAACACACGTGGTTAGGATGTAAAAATAGTATTTCTTTAATGTCTTCTAGAATTGATAGTGACTTTGAATTAATTCATTAACTTTGTTTTTTTCTTTCCCATTAACTTTTTTTAAAAAGTCAGTACCGCAGCTGGGCGTGGTAGCTCATGCCTGTAATCCCAGCACTTTGGGAGGCCAAGGCAGGCAGATCAAGAGGACAGAAGTTTGAGACCAGCCTGGCCAATATGGTGAAACCCCGTCTCTACTAAAAATACAAAAATTAGCTGGGTGTGGTGGCGTGCGCCCTACTCGGGAGGCTGAGGCAGGAGAATTGCTTGAAACCGGGAGGCAGAGGTTGCAGTGAGCCAAGATTGCACCACTGCACTCCAGCCTGGGTGACACAGCGAGAGTCTGTCTCAAAAAAAAAAGACTCTGTCTCAGTATCACAACCTATAATCGTCAAGATACCTTGGAGATCTTTTTGTAAAAAACTGATGACAAATTCTGAAACACACTCAAATCATTAAAGACATTACATAGCTTCAATGTAGCCTTATAGCAAGTGGACTCAATAGACATAAAGGGCTTATATTAACCTAATAATAATAAATAATCATTTTGCATCAACAGTATGAAATTCTGAAGATTCAAGCTGGGACACCTATCATGATGCTAATTTTTGCTAAATATTTCAAGTTTGGTACGAAGTAGAACTATATCTATTAAAAAGCTTTTGAGATAACTCCATACATTTTAAAAACATAAACCTATCCTTATGTGCTAAAATAAAATATTTTTTAAGTAGCAGTAATTTTGACATTAATTTGCTAGTAATACTACCTTAGATGTGAAAACACTAATATTAGCACCAGACTTCAGGAGCAATAACCCTTACAAACGTCTCTCGGGTTAACCGTATTAGCAGTAGAAGAAAAGAGTGAATTCTCAAAACACCCACAACTCAAATAAAATGAATCTCCCTAGCCCTTTCTCTCTCTGGGGATTTGTAGATAGATTTAAACTTACATTTTATTCATAATGTGTAGCATGTCTCCAAAGACAGTTATCCAATATCCATGCCTCCTGGTATTGATGCCCTTTTGGGGTCCCCTCTCCTTGAATCGAATCTCACTTTTGATCCATTGAAAGCTGCAGAAGTGATGCAGAGAGACTTCTTGGCTACATTGTAAGAGGAAAGCCCAAGTCTCTTGTGCTAAAATTCTTAATTGGGAGGACATTAGGTTGAGAGAGCTCAGCACTCTGGGTTCCTACAAAAGCAACCTGAAACCCAACTCAGAGTGAACGGTCACGGTCATCCCAGGAAAACAACACTTAAGCTTAACCAATCAGAAACCACCAACCAACCTCTAACTAGAGACTTTACCAATCAGAAATTGCCAATGAACCTCAAACTAGTGACTTTTCACTTTAACCACTCAAATGGTTTTTTGTGGGGTTTTTCTTTTTTTTGCCTTGCTTCCAAGAACATCTAGAGCTGCCCAATTCATGAGCTGTCTATTCAAATAAACTGGTTAAAATTTGAATGTGCCTAAGTTTGTCTTTTCACACTTAGAATCCTTGTTCTGGGGAATGCCAAATTCGCATGGAAAAAGCCTAACCACCCTGAGGCCTACGAGTTATGCGGAAGCCCAGGATTGCCACAGGGAATGGTCACATGGCTGCATGGCCAGCCTTCAGCTCTTCAGCCATCCTAGCCCAGGCACCAGACATGAGAGTGAAGACACTGTTGTGGATATCCAGCCAAGCCAAGCCTTTAGATAGCTGCAGCCCCAGCCTCTACCTCAATGCAACATTATTAGACACCCCAAGCAAAGCCCAGCTACCCCAGCTAGTACTGGGGCTCCTTTTTCTGCCTAAGATCCAGACCCACCAAAAGGTTTCCTCCCCCTCTCTCTAAGACCAAGAATGTCACCATACCTGATCAGACTCTTTCACAAGATAACGTGCAAGTTAATCTCTGTTCCCTGATCCATTCATTCATTGTCCCTAGAAATCCCCTCAATGGAATTCTTCCACCCCTTCCTGCAACCTGTTTCGCCAGGATGATGTATAAGCTTTTGAACCCCCTTAGGGGATGGGTAATCACTCTGTGATTCGCCTGGTGTACACCTTAATTAAATTTGTATGCCTTTTCTCCAATTAATCTGCCTTATGTGGGCTGACTTTTCTGAGAATCTTCAGAGGGCAAAGAGAAAGCTTTCCTTTGACCTCTACGTTACTCAACCCACAGAACCAAGAAAGATAATAAATTATTGATTAAGCCATGAAATGTAAGCAATAAATGTCTGGAACACTATATATGTAAAATAGCAGTAAGCAACCTATTTGGTAGATGTATAGATAGCAACAAGCAACACACACTCCTGATCCAATACAATGATTCCCAATTCTCACTGTGGGACATCTCCAAAGTGTCTCCAAAAGCTTTAGAAACATTGTGAATGAACTGATATAATCTGACAATAAAACTAACTTTGTTTAGTTTGAAAAATATAAACATAGGACATACTATTCCTTATGAAGGGAATTAAAAAGAAGTCAAAGAAAAATATCTGAGAAAATTGTACTCATAAATGAATCTTTTATTTAAGTAAATAAATCTTTTTTTTTTTTTTTTTTTTTTTTTGAGGCAGAGTCTCAATCTGTCACCCAGGCTGGAGTGCGGTTGTGCAATCTTGGCTCATTGCAACCTCTGCCTCCCGGGTTCAAGCAATTCTCCTGCCTCAGCCTCCTGAGTAGCTGGGATTACAGGCACGTGCCACCACACCCAGGTAATTGTTTGTATTTTTAGTAGAGATGGGGTTGCACCATGTTGGCCAGGCTGATCTCAAACTCCTGACCTCAAGTGATCTGCCCACCTCGGGCTCCCAAATTGCTGGGATTACAGGTGTGAGCCACCATGCCCAGCCTAGTAAATCAATCTTTTATTTCAATTTATTTATTTCAATAAAAGATTGATTTATGGTTTTATTGATCACAAATCAAATTAAAGTCTAATTTTAAATCTTTTATTTGAAAAGGGAGCGTTATCAATCTAAAACTGATTTCTGCCCTGAAAAGGTCCAGAAACAGGCAAAACCTCTACTGTAATTTTCAAAGTCTGAAGGCCTCAAAGGGTGGTCTGCCTGCAACACCCCACCTGTTGCCTAGAAGCCGAATCAGAATCTGCATTGTAACAAGATCTCCAGGTGAGTCATGCGTCCATTGAAGTTGAAGAAGTACTGGCAGAGAGCAGCAGTTCCCAAACTTGTCTGCACATGAGAATCATCTGGGAATCTTTTTAAAATTCCGAAATCCAGGCCATACCCTAGACCAACGAAATCATGGGACACAGGCGTTGATGGTTTTGAAGGCTACCAGGTGATTCCAATGTGCAGCCAACTTCGAGACCTAGTGGTCACCCTAGATAGGGCACTGGGAAATCACTTGGGGAGCATAAACACTAATATTGGTTTCCACCCCCGGAGAGTCTCATGTCGCTGGTCTCAGGTATGACCTATGCATCTGGAGTTTTTAAAAGCTCCAGGTAATTCTCATGTACAGCACAGTTTGTACAGCCACAGACCTGGAGCCAGGCACAGAAGATTTCAAAATGGCAGCTGAGCCTGCACCACTCCTTGGCGAAGAAGGGTTTAAAGTCAGTGAACCTTAATTAAAATGAACAGTTGGCCTCACAGTTTTCAGCTAACTCACCAGGTAGAATGACAGCATCAAGCTTGCTCGAGTTCAGGTCTGCCAAGTCTTGGACGTCCCTCCGGGCTCTCCTGGCACTTTCCTCCAGCACATTTCTCTTCTTTCTGTTGGGCTCCCTTTCAAGTGATTAACGATGAGCATCTGCTCGACATTAGGCGCAAATACCTTCACCTTC
Organism: Homo sapiens; assembly: GCF_000001405.40. Taxonomy (NCBI): domain Eukaryota; kingdom Metazoa; phylum Chordata; class Mammalia; order Primates; family Hominidae; genus Homo; species Homo sapiens. The sequence continues at coordinate 76,976,691 of NC_000013.11, forward strand.
AAAAATAGAAAGAAAAACACATGATGTCATTACCTCTATGAAAACAATCAAGCAACACTATCTCAGAATCTAAACCAGGAAGCCAAGACCAAAAGCCGCGAAGTGATTCTGTATGCCTTCAGGGCCAACATCAGCTAGAAATATTATAGCTCAACCACAAAGAAGAAAGTGCAGGGGCCTTCTAAAAGGGGGAAAAAAAGAGCTGTAAATTAGCTTCCAAAAGGAAGGGAGATCAAGTAGATTACAGAGAGGTGGCTTTTCAGATAAATATATATATATATTTCTTTAAATAGATGAAAGAGAGGATGTAATTTTATAGATAGGAACATACAGGACTCAAAAAATTGGAGGATTAAATCAGCCCTTGAGATCCTTCAAAGCAGTGCTTCTCAAGCTAGCTACACATTAGAATCACCTGGAGAGCTTGGGCACCAACGAGGCCAATTCAGTGGAAATCTCTGGGAGTGAAGAGCCAGCCTGAGCCTTGCTCCAGCTTAAAATCTCCCCAGGCGATTCTGTTTGTCAGGGCTGGCAACCACTAATCTAAAGCAAATGGGAGATAAAACTCAGGGCTCAGAGTTAAAACCCCGGAGTCTTCAATGCCAAGACCCCGCAGCAGGGCATTTGGTAGCTCTCGCTTGATCCACCTCCATGCCTCCAGCCCCACCAAGCTCTGGGTCACCCCCGGTTCATCCTCAGAAACACTCGAGAGGGGAGGACATCACTCTAGTTTCCCTGTCTCCAACCCTGGGATCCTGTAGGGGCCCTGATCTGGGGAAACATGAGGACGTGGAGGCAAGGGAGGAAGCTCAGGGGAGACACTTGTATATTGGGGGTTGCCTTTGAGCCACACCTTCTTCACTGGCTTCTATTCCAACCTAAAACACACAGGTCAGCTTCACCAGGAGGTACACGAGGCTGGTCTGAATCAAATGTCCCTTGACTCTCTGAAAGGATGGCATTAGGGCTGGGAGGCATAAAAATCAAGAGTCTCAGCCTCTTGTTACTAAACTTTGTATTTCACTAAAGTATATGCTAAGATTCTAAACATTCTCTCTTCGTATGTTGTTTTATAAAATTGAATAATAGCTCCTATCTGATATACCATATATACATACATATATGAGCTTAGAATGCTCATATATATATATATATATATATATATATATATATATATATATATATATGAGAAAAGACTTTGAATATTCTGAAGGGCAAGAAAGATGCAGATGCAGATACAGGCTGGGCATGGTGGCTCATACCTGTAATAGCAGCAGTTTGGAAGGCCAAGGTGGGAGAATTGCTTGAGGCCAGGAATTTGAGACGAGCCTGGGCAACATAGTGAGACCCCTGTCTCTACAAAAATTAAAACTAAAAAATTAGCCAGGAATGGAGGTGTGTGCTGCAGTCCTACCTACTCAGGAGGCAGAGGTGAGAGAATTGCCTGAGCCCAAGAGTTTGAAGTTACAATGAGCTTTGATCATGCCACTGCACTCCAGTTTGGGTGACAGAGCAAGACCCCGTTTAAAAAAAAAATGCTAAAAACATGGATTTGATTTTAAAGAATTCCCCAAACAAGTTGGCCTTCAGTTGTTTCACGGAATAATCAGATGAACATGCTCAAGGAGTGAAACACGTTTTCAACATGTGCACGTCCTTTGGAACTGATAAGAAAGCACTGAGGCATTTACTGGGTTGTAATCTAGACTCAATAAGTCCATGTACCTCTCCCGGACTTCATCTCAAGCACAGAGACCTGAGTTCATTAAATACTCACAAACCCCAGTGTGTAGGACATCGCCCTTCACCCATTAGGAAATCAGTAACTACTTGTTGAAAGGATGAATGAATAACACCCACATTAATCTTAATACCCTTCAAGTGAAAGAGGTGCTAGATATTTCCTTTCCTAAGTTTTAGAGAAAAGAGAATTGGCTTCTAGGACTGACTTTGTCACTGCCTAGTGATGACCTTAAAGAAGTCATTTTTCCTCCCAGGGAAACTCAGCCAGGAGATTGAACAGAGATGTCCTCCAGCTTCAAACTTCAAATCCTGCAGACAAAGAAATTAATGAATTGTATATTTTAACTTATTAAAAAGAAAGGTGCAGCAGCTGTGGCGGTTCCTCACAAAGTTAAAGAGAACTACCATGATTCCACTTCTAGGTATATACACAAAAGAATTAAAAGTAGGGACTCAAACAGGTATTTGTACACCCATGTTCATAGCAGCATTATTCACTACAGCCAACAACCCAAATGTCCATCAACAGATGAATGGTACACAAAATGTGGTGTTCTACATACAAGGGAATATTATTCCTTCCTTAAAAAGGAAGGAAATTTTGACAAGTGCTACCACATGGATGAACCCTAAGGACATAGGCCAAGTGAAATAAGGCAGTAACACAAAGACAAATATTATATGATTCCACTTGTAGTAAGTACCTAGAGTAGACAAAGTCTTAGAGATAGAAAGTAGAATGTAATAGAGGCTACCTGGAGCTGGGAGAAAGGAGAATGAGGAATTAGTGTTTCACGGTTGCGGTTGCAGTTTGGGATGATGAATATGGTCTGGGGACGGACAGTGGAGATGGCTCCACAGCATTGTGAATGCACTTAATGCCAGTCGATCACACACTACTTAAAAATGGTTAAAATGGTAAAGTTCATGTTACATATGTTTTACTCCCTCCCCCTCCCCTCCAAAAAACAAAACACTATTGGCAAAGGGGTAGCAGGTGAGGGGCAGGCTGGTCTGGTCCTTGTGACTGCGAACATCCCTGCTGCCCGTTTTTTGTCTGAAGCCCGGCTGGGTCGCTGGAGATCCAGCGGAGTGTGCGGAGGGAGGCGTGTTGGATACCTTTTAAAAATGAGAAGCCCCAGGCCGGGCGCGGTGACTCACGACTGTAAGTCGCGGCCCAACCCTTTGGGAGGCCGAGGCAGGTGGATCACTTGAGGTCAGGAGTTCGAGACAAGCCTGGCCAAAATGGTGAACTCCTGTTTAAAAAAAAAAAAAAAAAAAAAAATTAGCAGGGCGTGGTGGCAGGAGCCTGTAATCCCAGCTACTCGGGAGGCTGAGACAGAAGAATCGCTTGAACCCGGGAGGCGGAGGTTGCAGTGAGCCCAGATCGTGCCAATGCACTCCAGCCTGGGCGACAAGAGCGAGACTCCGTCTCAACAACAACAACAAAAAAAAATTAGAAGCCCCTGGGGACGGAGAGCATTAGGACAAATACCTAATGCATATGGGGCTTAAAACCTAGATGATGGGTTGATAGGTGCAGCAAACCACCAGGGCACATGCATACATATGTAACAAACCTGCACGTTCTGCACATGTATCTTGGAACTTAAAGTAACAAAATAAAATAAAATAAAATAAAAATAAAAATTAGAAGCCCGAGAGAGGGAAAACAGCTTAGGAAGGGGTTGCCCCCGCCACTCCGCAGGCTGCAGAGGGAAGAGAAAGCGCCCCCGTGGCGCCCCCAGGGCCGTGCAGCCCAGACCTAGCCCCGCAGCCCCACATACCCCAGCACCTCCGAAGCTGCGTGCAGAGCCGCTCGCTCCCACCTCCGGCTGCACCCGCGCGCCCCCTTGCGGCGGATTCCGCTCTGGCGCATAGCCCCACTGGAGCGCTGGCGCGTTGGCGATGGGGTCCCAGGTGGGAGAGAGATCTGTCCGCTGAACCTGCGCATCCCGGCCCCTGCGGAGGCTGCAGAGATTCTGCCCTTTCTGTTCGGAGGGAAGAGAGAGGGCGCCAGGGAGACATAAGCTAGATTTTTATTAATAGATAACTTTATTTGAAAATTATCTTTAAACGAAAGAGCAAGGGGAAAAATGGATTCTATCCTTTGCCGCACTACTAAAAAGTAACTTCCATTCAACTTATTTCAAAAGAGAACGTCGATATTGATATGCAATACTTTTAATTGTTTTAAAATATTTAATTGTGTGCAATAATTTTTTTAACTGCTCAGTTCCAAAGCTGGAAGTTGAAGTGATGTTTTTGACAGGGAAGACTGAAGAAGAGACCCCATTGCATCTTCATCGGAGCTGGAGGACAAAAAAAAAATTCTTAGGACACTTAACATGGAGAGTTTGAGATCCGGATACAGCGTGGGCTGTAACTAAGGGCAGTGGAAGCAGGCAGCCTTGGCTAGGATGCCGCTGCTCCTCATGACATTTTGTCTCACAAACTTAGCAAGTTCTTAGAAAGTCCAAAACGCCATATGTGTTGCCTAATTTTCTTATATGATCACAGGAAATAAATAGGAAAAATGCAGATAATTTGCATTTTATTTGATAATTTTTAAATAAAAGTTACTTGTTAATAAAATTTCAGGTAGGATGCTCCCTGAGTTTCTTCTGTACAATATCATTCATTGACCAGATATTTGAAGAAAAGTTATTCTTTGTTTTTTTGAGAGCAGGTACTGTTTATTAACTGACCAGCTTAGAAAAATAATCATGGTAGACACCTTAGTTCATTATTCTAATAAGCTGTTGATCTGGTCCTCCCTGTTGCCAGCATCTCCACCTTCTACAAAATGGGTGGTCTTTTTCTTCTTTCCACCTCATGGAGAAGATAATTTGAAGGACCACAGGAAGTTATTTGCTTCTTCGAAGCATTTTCCAACAGTATAGATCTCATGAATCAGATCTTCCGTGCAGATGATGCCATATTTACCAAGCGTTCGAGCAATCAAAGCGTTATCTGTCAAAGCAATTCGCTTCTTATTGATTTTGCCATAACCCCGCTTGTAGATTAGTTTATTTACTGACTTCAGATTTGGGTACCCCCTGCAATATATGGTTCTACAATCCCCAGCATGTTAATTGAAACCTTGTTAAGCTTCACAAAGTTTCCACTGAAGATTTGACGAAGGCGAAGAAGCTGCAACACCTTTCGGACCTTTGGGCTCACACCACTGATACCTCTGATCCTGATGACAAATGCCAATTTGGGTTCTGCAGGTACATAGAAGTTGCCGGCTTTGCTTGCCATCCTTGCCATTCAAATTTAAGTTCCGTATATCTGTCTATATTCCTTGTGATAGTGCTTCGCTTTTTCATAGATAAGCTTCCTCCTTGCCTTTCGAAGCATCTTTTGGGCAAACTTCTTTCTCAGGCATTTGATCTTCAGCTCTGTGAAATTTCTTCGCTTTTTCTTAAGGGTTTCTGGTACAGCAGGAAACTTTTTCTTCTTCTCTTTGACACTCTCCATGGTTCCAGCGGGAAAAGAGGAACTATTCCTTTATTATTAAAAGATGAAATCTGCAATATCCAGCAAACATTACTTTCCCTACTGGATCTTTAAATTATTAGTCCCATGTTCCTCTGATAAAAATTCACTAAGCCTTTATGTCCTGGGTGCTGAATAAACCCTGCATTTACTTTCAAGAAGAAACCTACCTTTCTTAACCTGGAGGTAGATTGCTGCTCATAAGTGACAGATGGAGTACTGTAAATCCCCGAGGGTGATTCTAGCTCTTGACCCAGTAGGATATTTACTGTCAACGATGCCTAGATTTAGAAAGAGGATGTAAACGTGGTGTGACACCAGACAGGGCAAAGAGCAACTGCTTGTGGAAAACACACATGCATCCGTCATCACTGCAGATGAGGAGGAAAAGGAGGACAAGGAGTGAATTTGAAAAGCAGGATAACTTAGTGTAGGTCTGAGTGCCCAAGATCAAACCTGACTCCACCCTCACTGCCTTATGTGATCCCGAGAAATTACTCAAAATATCTGTACCAACGTTTCCTCAGGCTGAAAGTAGGAAGTAGCACCTTTTTCATAGAGTTGTTGGAAAGATTAAAAATAGTAAATGTCATCTCTGTCAAAACCTTGATACTAGTGTATTTCTGTTCACTGAATGGTTTGTACCCCTTTAGTTTCCTTGATATACGTTGATTAAAAAAAAAAAAAATTTGACTGGGCCCGGTGGCTCACGCCTGTAATCCCAGCACTTTGGGAGGTAGAGGCAGGCAGATCACCTGAGGCCAGGAGTTTCAGACCAGCCTGGCTAATGTGGCGAAACCCCGTCTCTACTAAAACTACAAAAATTATGTGGGCCTGGTGGCACATGCCTGTAATCCCAGCTACTCGGGAAGCTGAGGCAGGGAGGCAGAGGTTGCAGTGAGCCGAGATTGCATCACTACACTCCAGCCTGGCCTACAGAGCAAGACTCTGTCTCAAAAAAAGAAAAAAAAAATCAACAAAATTGATTAAAATGTCTAATTGGCTTTTATTAGTGACTCATAAAACAGGCAGTTGCTAATCAAAATAGAGGGAGCTTCAATGAGCCTGGCAGACCAGTTGGTTTTCCTAAGGTAGCTTGAACAGAAATAGGGAAACAGGAATACAAAAAGTGAATTGGTTAACATCAGTTTACTTCAGGTTACTTTACTTATAAAGGGTTAAAGCAGAGAGGACTTCCTTAACATGCTGACTTAGGCTGACTGGGCCCTTTCTGATTGCTTGCTGTGAATCTCTTGTTTTTACGAAAAGCCAGTCTATTTTGGGAATTTTCCCGTTTACGTTTCAGTTTGATTACAGTTCGATTACTTAGCACGAGCGACCCCATTTTGGTTCAATCTGTTGCGACCTAATGCAGGGGCTCAGTTCAAAACCATGGCCTCTCATACATTTTATTTAACAACACAAAGAAAAGAGTTTTTGTTCTGAAGCCAATTTTCTTGCGGCTATTGATAAATCGATCATAACAGAACTAAAAAATATATTCAATAAACAAGTACAAGATTAAAGAATTGTCTAAACAATGTAATGTAATAAGCAAAATAAATCCAAATCACTTGATTTAGGATTAGGGTAAGGTGTTCCTTATGGCTCCACAGTTTGTTTTTAAGTATTACCTATTAAGTAGATGTCTCACTCTAATCTCTGCCTTCAGTGAATATTATAAATTTTAATTTTATTAAATTCACACTTAAATGATGCTTTTAAAATTATCTTTGGGTCGGGCACAGTGGCTCACGACTATAATTCCAACACTGTGGGAGGCTGAGGCAAGAGGATTACTTGAGCCCAGGAGCATGGGCAACAAAGTGAGACTCTGACTCTACCAAAAACATTTTATTTAATTAGCCAGGCATGGTAGCACAGGCCTGTAGTCCCAGCTACTCAGGAAGTGAGGTGGGAGGATCGCTTGAGCCTGAGAGGTCAAGGCTGCAGTGAGTCATGATCATGCCACTGCACTCTAACCTGGACAACAGAGCGAGACCCTGTCTCAAAATAAAAATGAAAATAAAATTATCTTTGAACTAAAATAAATGATGCTTTAGGCAAGTGAAATTGTCGAAACTCTGAAAATAGGATGTACGTATAGTTGATGTATTTGTTTAGCCCAGTTTATCATGTAAACAACAGGTTAGTATACCCAAGTTTCAGAAACACTTTGGGGGTTCATTAATTTTTGGTTACCTTTAAGATTTTCTTAACCTCTTACATGAATATTTGTGTCAGGGCCAGGCTCTGTGGCTCATGCCTTTAATTCCAGCACTTTGGGAGGCCAAAGCAGGAGGATCGCTTGAGCCCAGGAATTCGAGACCAGCTTGGGAACGTAGTGAGACTCCTTATCACTACAAAAAATTTAAAATTATTTGGGCATGTTGGTACATTCCTGTAGTCCAGCTACTATAGGGGCTGAGAGATGGGAGGATCACTTGAGCTAGGAGGCTATGGCTGCAGTGACTGTGATTGCACTACTGCACTCCAGCCTGGGTGGCAAAGTGAGACCCTGTCTCAAAAAGAAAAAAAGGAGTAGGAAATTAGTGTGTCTAGGGCCGGAGCTCTTAGGCAAACTGGTGAAGCCCCTTCTCAGAATAATGCTTTTAACGCCTAAAATAAAAAATGAGATTGTAAATGAGAAACTAAAAATTAGCTTGGACTTTAATCTGCCCTCGTATTCATTAGCCTGGACTGATAAAACCAGCCTCAAAATTACCAGAAAACAGTACTTCTCTCAAACCACAGTAAATCATAAAGTGTCATAACAACCTCCTTTCTTTTCTACTTAATTTTTTTTTTTTTGCCAAGTCCTTTATGGAAGTTGTTGTGCGTGTCTCTGTTGTCTTTGTGGAAGGCCAGAGCCACACGGTCCTAAGAGCTGGGAACCAGGAAGCATAGGCTGATCTGAAGAAGACACTTCAATCATGGGTGATATTAAAAATTTTCTGTATGCCTGGTGAGGCAAAAGGAAGATGACTCCATCCTATGAAATTAGAGCATTGGGGAACAAAAGTAGGCAGAAATTCTTGTGTGAGGTTCAGGTGGAAGGGTATAATTACAGTGGCATAGGAAATTCCACCAATAAAAAAGATGCACAGAGCAATGCTGCCAGAGACTTTGTTAACTATTTGGTTCAAATAAATGAAGAGTGAAGAAGTTCCAGCTTTTTGGGGTTGCATCTCTGCCCCCACTTACTGATATTCCTGACACTACAGCAAATGCTGAAGGAGGTTTACCAACAACCATGGGAGGTCCTCTTCCGCCACATCTGGCTCTCAAAGCTGAAAATAATTCTGAGGTAGGGGCCTCTGGCTATGGTGTTCCTGGGACCAAGGAGCCAACTTGAAGGATTACTACTCAAGAAAGGAAGAACAAGAAGTGCAAGCGACTCTAGAGTCAGAAGAAGTGGATTTAAATGCTGGGCTTCATGGAAACTGGACCTTGGAAAATGCTAAAACTCATCTAAACCAATATTTTCAGAAAGAAAAAATCCAAGGAGAATATAAGTACACCCAAGTGGGTCCTGATCACAACAGGAGCTTTACTGCAGAAATAACCATTTACATCAAGCAGCTGGGCAGAAGGATTTCTGCACATGAACATGGATCAAATAAGAAATTGGCAGCACAGTCCTGTGCCCTGTCACTAGTCAGACAACTCTACCATCTTGGAGTGGTTGAAGCTTACTTCAGACTTACAAAGAAGGAAGGAGAGAGAGTGGAACCTTACAAAGTAAACCTCTCTCAAGATTTAGAGCATCAGCCACAAAACATCATTTGAGAGCTAAATTTTGAGATTATGCCCCCGCCTGAAGATCCTTCTATGCCAGTTGCACTCAACATTGGCAAATTGGCTCACTTTGAACCATCTCAGTGACAAAACCAAGTGGGTATAGTTCCTCGGTCACCTCCACAATCCAGATGGAATCCTTGGACTACTAGCGACATTGCTGAGGGACCTCTGGCTTTTGCTTCTCCAGAGCAAATAAGCTTGGACCTCAAGAATGAATTGGTGTACCAGTTGGAACAGGATCATGATTTGCCAGCAATCTTGCAGGAGCGAGAGTTACTGCCTGTGAAGAAATTTGAAAGTGAGATTCTGGAAGCAATCAGTCAAAATTCAGTTGTCATTATTAGAGGGGCTGCTGGATGTGGTAAAACCACGCAGGTTCCCCAGTTCATTCTAGATGACTTTATCCAGAATGACTGACAGCAGAGTGTAACATTGTAGTAACTCAGCCCAGAAGAATCAGTGTAGTTTCCATGGCAGAGTGAGTTGCATTTGAGAGAGGAGAAGAGTCTGTAAAAAGCTGTGGTTACAGTGTTCAATTTGAGTCTGTACTTCCTTGTCCTCATGCCAGTATAATGCTTTGTACTGTAGGTGTGCTCCTAAGAAAATTAGAAGCAGGCATTTGAGGAATCAGTCATGTAATTGTAGATGAAATACATGGAAGAGACATTAATACTGACTTCCTTTTGGTAGTACTGCGTGAAGTTGTTTCAGCTTACCCTGAAGTTCTCATTGTTCTTATGTCCACTTCTATTGATACCAGCATGTTGTGTGAATATTTCTTCAATTGCCCCATCATTTAAGTGTATGGGAGGACTTACCCAGTTCAAGAATATTTTCTGGAAGACTGCATTCAGATGACCCACTTTGTTCCTTCACCGAAAACCAAGAAGAAGGACAAGGATGATGATGGTGGTGAGGATGATGATGCAAATTGCAACTTGATCTGTGGTGATGAATATGGTCCAGAAACAAGGATGAGCATGTCTCAATTGAATGAAAAAGAAACTCCTTTTGAACTCGTCGAAGCTCTCTTTAAGTACATTGAAACCCTTAATATTCCCAGAGCTGTGTTGGTATTTTTGCCTGGCTGGAATTTGATTTATACTATGCAGAAGCATTTGGAAATGAATCCACATTTTGGAAGCCATCAGTATCAGATTCTACCTCTGCATTCTCAGATTCCTTGACAGGAACAGCGCAAAGTGTTTGATCCAGTACCAGTTGGAGTAACCAAGGTTATTTTGTCCACAAATATTGCTGAAACAAGCATTATCATAAATGATGTTTATGTCGTTGACTCCTGCAAGCAGAAAGTGAAACTCTTTGCTACTCACAACAATATGACCAACTATGCTACAGTATGGGGATCAAAAACAAACCTTGAACAGTGGAAAGGGCAACCTGGCCGAATACGGCCTGGATTCTGCTTTCACCTCTGCAGCCGAGCTCGTTTTGAGAGACTTGAAACCCACATGACACCAGAGATGTTCCAAACACCATTGCATGAAGTTGCTCTTAGCATAAAACTTCCATGTCTAGTTGGAATTGGCCAGTTTCTGGCCAAAGCAATTGAAACTCTCCCTTTGGATGCTGTGATTGAAGCAGAACACACTCTTAGAGAGCTTGATGCATTAGATGCCAATGATGATTTGACTCCATTGGGACGAATCCTGGCTAACCTCCTCATTGAGCCTCGTTTTGGCAAAATGATGATAATGGTGTGTATTTTCTATGTGGGAGATGCTATCTGTACCATTCCTGCTGCTACCTGCTTTCCAGAGCCTTTTATAAATGAAGGAAAGTGGCTGGGCTACAACCATTGAAATTTTGCTGGAAACGGATTTTCTCATCATGTAGCCCTTTTATCAGTATTCCAAGCCGGAGATGATACTAGAATGGGTGGAGAAGAAGCAGAAATACGTTTTTGTGCGCACAAAAGACTTCATATGGCTACACTAAGAATGACTTGGGAAGTCAAAGTTCAGCTCAAAGAGATTCTGATTAATTCTGGGTTTCCAGAAGATTGTTTGGTGACACAAGTGTTTACTAACACTGGACCAGATAATAATTTGGATGTTGTTATCTCTCTTCCTGGCCTTTGGTGTGTACCCCAATGTATGCTATCATAAGGAAAAGACAAAGATTCTCACCACTGAAGGGTGTAATGCACTTATCCACAAATCATCTGTTAATTGTCCTTTTAGTAGCCAAGACATGAAGTACCCATCTCCCTTCTTTGCATTTGGTGAAAAGATTCGAACTCGAGCCATCTCTGCTAAAGGCATGACTTTAGTCACCCCACTACAGTTGCTTCTCTTTGCCTCCAAGAAAGTCCAATCTGATGGGCAGATTGTGCTTGCAGATGACTGGATTAAACTGCAAATATCTCATGAAGCTGCTGCCTGCATCACCGCTCTCCAGGCAGCCACTGAGGCTCTGGTTGTTGAAGTAACCAAACAACCTGCTATCATCAGCCAGTTGGACCCCGTAAATGAAAGTATACTGAACATGATCCGTCAAATCTCTAGACCCTCAGCTGCTGATATCAACCTTATGATTGGCAGTACATGGTATGGAGATGGTCCAGGTCCTCCTAAGATGGCCCAATATGACAATGGAAGCGGATATAGAAGGGGAGGTTCTAGTTATGGCAGTGAAGGCTATGGCAGTGGCTATAGCAGTGGAGGCTATCGTAGCGGAGGCTATGGTGGCAGCTCCAGCTCCTGTCGGGCAGGATATGGTGCAGGTGTTGGTGGAGGCTATAGAGAAGTTTCCTGAGGTGGCTATAGAGGCAACTCTGGAGGAGATTACAGAGGGCCTAGTAGAGGCTACAGATGATCTGGGGGATTCCAGCGAGGAGGTGGTAGGGGGGCCTATGGAACTGGCTACTTTGGACAAGGAAGAGAAGGTGGCATCTGTTAAGGCTTGGTTATGTCAGTTCCTGTGTGTAGACAGTAAGAAAAAAAAAGCCATGCTATGTGTGACATTTTTTTCCAATGTTTATTTCCCACCAAAAAGTAAATGCATTTTAACCCATTCTGTGGTTCACTGTAGCTTAAGGAAACCAAGCATATAGATGCATTAGTGATTTTGTTTATATTATGTAAAATGTAACGATCTATCTTAGAAATACCACAGTTTGTATTTTTCTTTAAGGAGTAAAGATTTGTCTTTAAAAATAACTTGATATTTTCCTGGCTTTCATTTAATACAATGGAAAATAAAGTATTACACGAAAAAAAAATTTTTTCTTAGAGACAGTATCTCATTATGTTACCCAGGCTGAAGTGCAGTGGCTATTCACAGGCACGATTATAGCTCACTATAGCCTCAAAGTCCTGGGTTCAAGCCTCCTGAGTAGCTAGAACTTCAGGTACATGCCACCTTGCCTGGCTTCCTGCTTTCTTATTCACTAAGAAACTTTGTTCTCTAAAATCATAGATTAGAGACAACTTCGTGTTTGAAATTACATCAGTAACAATAAAATATCCCACCTTTGCTTGAAGGACCTCAGTCATTCCACACAGAGAATTGGCCTCAATTTACAACCCAGATGTCAAGCTTCTGATAAGGGGTTTCCAGACACAAAACTCCATCGCTATTTTAACTTCATAGTCTCCAAGGAAATAGGCCCTTCATCCACTTTGCAGTCTAGACCTAGAGCCTGTGTGTTGATGGCAGCAGCAGGCCGTCTGGAGCAGCCACTACCATCATTGACATACAGCCTTGTTTTGCTTTGAGTCTACCAAAATACTGCTTATTTAAATTTCATCTCAACTCCACACTTCCCCAGAATCCTATCACTCTATCTGGGGAGATGCCATGTGGTCCAGGCAGTCTTAGGCTGAATGGGCAAGGATCCAAGGGAAACCAATTAGATTGAAATTAGTTCTGTCTGTGGGCCCTCAAGATTTAAAAGCCATGGACAAGGGGGAAGCAACCAGTATCGACCAGCGATAATCTATGAGCACCTTCAGCTTGGGGTGTGGGGTCATAGACAAAAAGAATGGGGTTTAATCAGTGTTCCCATCCAAGGCAAAACCAGACCAGAAGAATGGGAGCTACCAGGAGGCTGAGTTAAGACCAATACTAGGGCCAGGCATGGTGACTACAGCCTGTAATCCCAGCACTTTTGGAGGCCGAGGCAGGTGGATTACTTGAGGTCAGGAGTTCGAGACCAGCCTGGCCAACATGGTGAAACCTCGTCTCTACCAAAAAAAAAAAAAAAAATTACAACTGGCACACACTTGTACCCAGCCACTAGGGAGGCTGAGGCAGGAGAATTGCTTGAACCCGGGAGGCGGAGGTTGCAGTGAGCCGAAATCACATCACTGCACTCCAGGCTGGGTGACAGAAGGAGACTCCGTCTCCAAAAAAATAAAAAATAAAAACCAATACTAGGAAGTGCTTTCTTACCATGAAAGCTCCCTGCACACAGAATGAAGAGACAGATGGCAGAAGCAAGACCAGAGGCCTCCACCACTGAACAAGGTCAACCTGAATTTGTTTTTGTAGCTCTGGGAAGTCCTGAACTGAATGGGAGGTTCTACTGTGGCCCTCTACTAACAGTAGATGGAACCTGGAACCATCTACTGTTAATTGTCCTTTTAGTAGCCAAGACATGAAGTACCTATCTCCCTTCTTTGTATTTGGTGAAAAGATTTGAACTCGAGCCATCTCTGCTAAAGGCATGACTTTAGTCACCCCACTGCAGTTGCTTCTCTTTGCCTCCAAGAAAGTCCAATCTGATGGGCAGATTGTGCTTGCAGATGACTGGATTAAACTGCAAATATCTCATGAAGCTGCTGCCTGCATCACCGCTCTCCAGGCAGCCACGGAGGCTCTGGTTGTTGAGGCCATCTACTGTGGCCCTCATACATCATACTGTGTATGGTTCCAGGATTTGTAAATGCTCTAATCAATGTTTTTTTTTTTTTTTAAAGCTGTTCCTGCTGATTGCTTTTTAAGCTAGGCTCAAGTGTGGGGCCACGGAATCCTTCAGGTGCCCTTCAAATCAGACATTACATTTCAGCTCTCAGGGCTAGAATGCTTCCCCCTCTTATCTTGGGCAGGTCTTTGAAGAAGCCAGTTTAGCCTTGGTAATTTTGAATTTGGCCATAGTATACGGAGGAGAGCTAGGTAGCTATCAAAACGCTTAGACAAACGTATGGTAAAATGCAGCCCAGCCTGAACCTCCGCAAAACCCCCAAACCTGGAGCAGCAAGTGGGCAAAGGAGTGTGTGTTTGGGGCAGGGTACTGAGTCCCATATGTAATCAAGAGACCTGGAGGGCCCAAGGAAGTCAGTGACACCCCCACAAGCTACATATCCTCCAATGGATTGTGGTGGTCATCTCCGGCTACCGAAGCCACCTTGCTTATTCCCATAGGCTTACAAACATTATGATGCTTCACACGAGTTGTGGGTGAAGTGAAGGAATTGGAAAGTCCCGGTCTAAGGCCCTGCAAAACTGCTGTCTGGTAAAAACAAGTGACTATGGCAAGGCCCTGAATGTACTACGTATAGACTTAAGTCAGTATTTGTGCCTAACAGCAAAGCATGCCACAAGAGGCTCCTCAAAAGCCGGGTAATTGATGCCATTGTTTTCTTGACCTAGTTGAAGAGTCAAAGAAGAGAAGGTGATGCAGAAACTTCTTTCCAGTGAAGTGACAGATCCAAGCAAGGAACACCTGCCTGTGAGGGGAGCGGTAGGGGAGGGGGTAGATTCGGCAGCACTCGGGTAGTGGCAGGGACCACATATTGTCGGTGTTAACCACTGTTATCACTGGCCCAGGTCGAGTGAGGACGAGTCATTTCCCCACTAAGCACTTGGGGAGTGGCAGGGACCACATATTGTCAGTGTTAACCACTGTTATGACTGGCCCAGGTCGGGTGACGACGAGCCATTTCCGCACTATTGTCCCTTCTTCCTCACTGCACCCCCAGCCCTGCACCCTCAGCTCCAAATACACATTCTCGTTCACTCAACGTTTGTTGACACCTAGCGTGGGCCCTGTGGGATGGGGTAAAAGTTCGGTGTTGGGAGGAGCCCCGGTGACAGATTTTTGGTTTTGGTGGTGGCTTTTGGGCAAGGACAGGTCAATTCATAAAAGATGACGCCCCAGGTCTGGATCGAATTCTCCTGGGAGCCAGACCAAAGCACCTTCCTGGACTGCAAAGTGTGGAAGCCGCCGCGGGCCGGGCGCGGGGAGGTGTCATGCGCCGGAACCTGCGCTTGGGGCCAAGCTCTGGAGCTGACGCGCAGGGGCAAGGCGCCCCGCGTCCCGGACTGGCGGCTCCGCGCATGCTCCTCCCACCGGCGTCGCAGGCCTCGAGAGGCTCCGGAAGTACTGGGTGCAGCCTGATGGCGCAGGAGGTAGACACGGCACAGGGCGCCGAGATGCGGCGGGGCGCGGGCGCGGCTCGGGGACGCGCTTCCTGGTGCTGGGCCCTGGCGCTGCTTTGGCTCGCGGTGGTTCCGGGCTGGTCCCGGGTCTCGGGCATCCCCTCCCGGCGCCACTGGCCGGTGCCCTACAAGTGAGTGCGGCGGCGCGCGCACTGTCGGGGTTGGGGTCGGCGTTGACGATGGGGGATGGGGTGCTGGGGCGGGGACCCCTGCTCACCGTGGTTTGTGTCGGGTCACGAGATGGTGCGGGGACAGCGCCGGGTGACGCTCGGAGCGCACTTGAGAGCAAAGTTGAGGACTGGGGAGTCGCAGCCGCTCGTTACGTGCAGCCCTGGGACCTTTCGTCCCCTCTGGTCACTTGCGGCAGACTCAGGACAGTCCTGAATCGTGGAAGAAGAAAAGGAGAGTAATGTTATTTAATGGAGGGACTTCTGGGTACAAGTAGCTGATTTCTTGAGTAGTTTAAAAACACTGTCTATCGCATTTATTTATATCATGCACTGTCGTTAGTTATTACCGCGGAACATTTGGTACAATTTACTGGGCGACCAACTCGCTCTGGTTTGAACCTGATCAGAACCTGATCCGAAGTCCTTATTGGGACTTCCCAGTTTTGCCCTCAAAAGTCGCGCATCCCGGGAATCCCCGTCTCCTGCAGTCCTGGTTAGACCGGGAAGATTGTCACCGCTTTTGTCCAGTCTTCAGCCTGGAGGTAGGACGCCGGTCCTAAGTCGGGGACAGAGCCCGCACACCTGGGAGGTCGATTCCAGCCTTTGACAGAGAAGACACAGCCTCCGGCGGTCAGAGATAGCTAAACACAGAGAAAGAAAACATGGTGTCAACATCAGGCAGGAGAAAGACCAGCAGTTTTTGAAAACAGCTATTTTTCTTTAAACCAAAAGCATCATTGGACATAATTTTAACTTACTAGCATAAGTAATCAACAGCTAAAACTGCACACAACAAACCTGAAAAAAACAGCTATTTTGTATGACAGTATGAGTGGGAAGGAGTTCTGCCTGCTGCGGGTCAAATCTGGCTCTGTCATCACCAGGGATCTTGGGAAAGTTACTCAGAATCTCTGTGCCCACATGCCCTGAGTCAAAAAATAGGAATAGTGGTAGCACGTACCTCATAGGTTTGCTGGAAGGATTAAATCTAGTAAAATGCCAGCTGTTGTCAAACCTAGATAGTGTATTCTGCTCACTGAAATGTTTACAACACTTTTTTGTTTTGTGTGATATACTACGTGGAAAGAGAAGTTTGTGGTTGAAGCTAGTTTTCTGGAAAATGTTAATAATAAAATGTTTGTAAGAAGTCAAAATTACTCAATAGAACAAGAATTGTAAATCCAAACGATTTGATTTAACATTAGGGCAAGGTGTTGACTATGGCTTTTTAGTGGATTTTTTTTTTAAGTCTCAGATATTAAGTACGTGCTCCCATCTAATTCCCTCAATTGAATATAATATTTAAGTTTATTAAGTTCACACTTAAATTACCTTTGAACTAAAATAGATTTTGCTGTGTCAGTGAAATCTCCATGTGATTATGTATTTGTTTAAACCAGGTAAGTGCCTATAAAACACTGTACCCAAGTAGCAGAAACTTTTGGGAGCGTCGTTAATAGTTTCGATTAGCATAAAGATTTTAACTTCTTAAGTTAAAATAGAAATTTTTGTTGATTTGTTAAGATTTGTTAGATCTGGCTACAACCTTGGGGATCTAGGATTCTTAGATAGAAGCTGTTGTCGCCACCACTTCTTTCTTTCCCAGTGCCAGATTATAGGTGACCAGTGTGTCTGTTGAGCTGAATTCAGCTGCAGTGCCCCTCGAGTCCTATTGCTGTGGCCTTCTCCGGTCTTCTTTTCTTGCCTGCATTGTTGAGGTCACCTTCTAACTGATCTCTCATGTTTTATTTGGCCTCTCTCCATACCCTCTTTTAATTCGTGAAATAAGGTTTACTTTATAGCAAATTCAGTCCTGTCAGATCTGCTACTTAACATCCTTTAAGTTTAGCCCTCCCCAATTATAAGGCAGGGAATTCCATGCACATTCTCCTAGTGACAAAATGACAGCCCCTGCCAGTCTCTTCCGTCTCCATTCCTGCGTCGAGGCCTGAAATCCAGTCTTCCGTACCTACCGGAGACCAAATGTGCCAGGCTTGTCTTACAATACTTAACATTTCCTCTGCCTTTCTGTCTTAACCTTCTAATCAACTACATTAAAAACCTAGGCCCGGCCTTCATCTCTTTCTTTGCCCTCCCCACCCCATTCATCCCATACCTGGTTAACAATGATTTGTCCTTCCTGTGTGCCCATAGGACTCATTCCTTTAGTCTAGCACATACCACACTCATTACTTGTTCAGTGTCTTTCCAGCTCCCACCCACAGTTCCATGAGAAAGGGAACAGTGTTTTAATTTTTGTTTCCCTCCTTCTTACTATAGTTCACTATATATGTAGTGGAGCCTCAATAAATATTGGTTGAATGAATGTTAATTCGTAAGTAAATATAAAATGTATTCTGTTACTCATAATTATCTGAATAATCTTAATGTATGGACTGTTTGTAAAATTGAACACATTGGAAAAATGTTCATTTATTCTGTAAACATTTGCAAATGTCTACTATGATCTGGAGCTATAAAAATTTTAAGACAAAATTCCTGTCTTCAAAATTTTCACAGTGGGATCAGGGAACAGGGAAGCCCGTATTTATCAGAGTGCTTTTAGTTTATCATTTGCTATTAAAAACATTATTGGAAGTTTGTTCACAAGATAACAAAATGTGTGTTTATATTTATTAACTATGGTCCGACCTTTGAATGGTCCCCTAAAAATGTTACTGGATTCTAAAAGACGTGAGAAGAATCAGATTCATTTTAGAATCTAAGTAGATGGTTTCTTTTTCTTTATTAGGCGCTTTGACTTCCGTCCAAAACCTGATCCTTATTGTCAAGCTAAGTATACTTTCTGTCCAACTGGCTCACCTATCCCAGTTATGGAGGGTGATGATGACATTGAAGTTTTTCGATTACAAGCCCCAGTATGGGAATTTAAATATGGAGACCTCCTGGGACACTTGGTAAGGATGCATCTTGGTCTTATAACTTTGGTTAATTCAATGATTTGGTTATTAAGTTGATTTTTAAGGAGTAATCACTATTTAGATGGCTGACTTTAGATCATGTTGGTGTTTGTCTTAGTACATTTAAAATGAGTAGTCAAAAATAGTTACTATCAGATTTTGTAATCTTGACAACAACAAATGTAATCACCATTATCCATTGTAATATTATGAATCTGAAACCAGCTCCTGTACCTAGCTCCTGGAAGGTGAGAAGAGGCCCAGAAGTGGCAGGGCAGGCAGGTAACACCTCTTGATTTCCATACTCTGTTGTAGTCACTTTTCCAGGTTAACCCATCACCATGTGAGGTCTGTAGAGCTGCTTCCAGAGACTGGCATGGGGGCTCCTCACACTTATTCTAAGCTCTAAGGAAATTATCAGCTTGTCCACATAACATGCAGGCCTCCTATTTGAGATGAGCCAAATAGGGGTGTAGTGGCCAAAGCTGGGGTGGATGAGGGCCTGGAGTTTGGGGCCACAGAGTGGATATGACAGTAGCAGCATGGAAGAACAGCTGAACAGTTGTTCTACTTGATATGCATTTGTGATGTGCCACATTTTCTCCTATCAGGTTACCTGGACCCATGGTTGTGTCACAGTTGCTTTTATACATGTACTGTCTTTACACAGAAAATTATGCATGATGCCATTGGATTCAGAAGTACATTAACTGGCAAGAACTACACAATGGAATGGTATGAACTTTTCCAACTTGGCAACTGTACATTTCCCCATCTCCGACCTGAAATGGATGCCCCTTTCTGGTGTAATCAAGGCGCTGCCTGCTTTTTTGAGGGAATTGATGATGTTCACTGGAAGGAAAATGGGACATTAGTTCAAGTAGCAACTATATCAGGTAAGTTGTGAAAATATAGCAATATTTGATCATTGCATCAAAAACCAAATGAAAGAAATTGTTATACTTCCATTGAAACATTTCAGTAATGTTTTACTTAGAGGTCATTTGTAAAATGTACTTTTGGAACCATTAAACTTTGGGAATTTTTTTCATCTCTTATTTGTATTTTTTATTTATTTTATTTGAATAGGTTTGTGGGGAACTGGTTATGTTAAGTTACATGAATAAGTTCTTTAGTGGTGATTTCTGAGATTTTTGCGCACCCATCACCCGAGCAGTGTACACTGTACCCAATGTATAGTCTTTTATCCCTCACCCCTCTCCGACCCTTTTCCCCGACTTCCCAAAGTTAATCATTCTTATGCCTTTGCATCCTCATAGCTTAGCTCCCACTTACAAGTGAGAATACACAATGTTTGGTTTTCTATTCCTGAAGAGTTACTTCACTTGGATGGAATTGGAGACCATTATTCCAGGTTGCTGCAAATGCCATTATTTCATTCCTTTTTATGGCTGAGTAGTATTATTCCTTGGTATATATACACCACATTTTCTTTATCCACTCATTGATTGATGGGCATTTGAGCTGGTTCCATATTTTTGCAGTTGCAAATTGTGCTGCTATAAACATGCATGGGAAAGTATTTTTTGCGTATAATGAGTTCTCTTCCTTTGGGTAGATACCCAGTACTGGGATTGCTGGATCAAATGGCAGTTCTACTTTTAGTTCTTTAAGGAATCTCCACACTGTTTTCCATAGTGGTTGTACTAATTTACATTCCTAGCAGCAGAGAAGAAGTGTTCCCTTTCCCCCACATCCCGCCAATATCTATTTTTTTTTATTTTTTGATTATGGCCATTCTTGCAGGAGTGAGGCGGTATTACATTGTGGTTTTGATTTGCATTTCCCTGATCATTGCATTTCCCTGAGCATTTTCATGTTTCTTGGCCATTTGTATATCTTCTGAGAATTGTCTATTTGTGTCCTTAGCCACCCCCACCCCGCCTTTTTGTTGTTGTTGTTTGTTTGTTTGAGGTGGAGTTTTATTCTTGTCGCTCAGGCTGGAGTGCAATGACACAATCTCAGCTTGCTGCAACCTCCACCTCTTGGGTTCAAGCGATTCTCCAGCCTTAGCGTCCCAAGTAGCTGGGATTACAGGCGCCCGCCACCATGCCAAGCTAATTTTTGTATTTTTAGTAGAGATGGGGTTTCGCCATGTTGGCCAGCTGGTCTCAAACTCCTGACCTCAGGTCATCTGCCCACCTTGGCCTCCCAAAGTGCTGGGATTAAAGGTGTGAGCCACCACTCCCGGCCGTTAACCCACTTTTTGATGGGATTGTTTTTTTCTTGCTGATTTGAGTTCCTTGTAGATTCTGGATATTAGTCCTTTGTCAGATGTATAGATTGCAAAGATTTTCTCCCACTCTGTGGGTTGTCTATTTACTCTGCTGATTGTTCCTTTGGCTGTGCAGAAGCTTTTTAGTTTAATTAAGTCTCATCTATTTATATTTGTTTTTGTTGCATTTGCTTTTGGTGGAACCACTAAACTCTGACCCAAACTATTACTCATGCAGAACTTCACCTGTTGGTGATGAGTAGCTTATCTCTGATCTTTGAATGTTTCCCTAAAAATGCTCTTTTCCCATCATAAAAATGAATAAAATGATAAAACATTTTGTACAATTAAATTGGTCTTTCTAAACGAAATAGTAAGAGAAATCCATAAAATGCCTGATTAAAGGATATGTTAACTATATCTGAAAAAAATTTTAGTGATGATATTTTTATGTTGAAAAATAATAGCTACTAATATAGACTGGTTCTGGCACTGTTCTGAGTACTGTACATACATCACATCATTCATCATCACAACTTCTGGAGGTAGTAACTATTATTTTGCCTATTTTACAGATGGAGAAACTGAGGCACAGAGAGGTTAAAGTTACACAGCTTAGTAAGTGGGACTCCAACCCTGGCAGTTACGCCCCATTGCCCATTCTCCTAACTACTTTGATACATTGCCTCCCAAAATGTATATGATCTTATATTTGAGACCCTCTTGAGCAGTTTAAATATTTTATCTTTGAGATTTTTTTCTTCTTTTGGATGTATTGGAAAGTTGCTGAAAGTTGGAATTGTGTTGCAAGTGCTGCATTGTTGGTTAGTAATGAAAAGAGTTCAGCAATCCTTTCATTGGTAACTCCTTATGTGACTTGGGTCACATTTTATATCTTATTGGCCCGTTGCCTCATGTGCAAAATGGAGACAATATACCATAGCATTTGAGAAGTAAGGAGCTTGTCCATATGATTTATGAAGCATTACATTATAAATTGCTGTTCCCCAGAACAGTAGAAACATCTGAAATGAAAGCACTGTTGTGACAATAATTATTCAGTGAACCCCAGGACTTGAGGAAGTAATCATGCTTCCTATTTGTATAGCTCTTTACAAATGATTTGGAGGTATGTTAACTCACGGTTCAGTGGAGAGGATAAGATACTCATTCTCTGCAAATAAGGAATTGAGGCTCAGCCAGGTAACATGACTTACTTGCCTCTCAAGGTCAAAGAGCTGGATGTAGCAGAATCAGGAATAAAACTGAGGTCTTTTAAATGTAACAAGGATCTGTTAGCCGAATGCACCATGTTGTTTTCTAATATTTCCTGCTACTTTCTAATCAATGTGCCTTAAACCATACCAACAATACAAAAGTCCATCATTAGCGGTTCTTTCTTTCATTCCAGGCCAGTTCACACCTTTCCCCATTTCCACCTACATCGTTATCTGAAAATCCTTCCTTCTGACATAAAGTCAATGATCATATGAATAAGTGATCACTATTTTTTGTAAAATAGTTCAAAATATGCCAGTACTTAAATCTTTTAAGTCATTTATTTGCCTTGTGAATAATCCTGTGATTGACAAAATAGTGTTTTGAAGCATTCTTGTCTCATAAGGATAGTGGTGGCATTTGAAAGTTGAAGAATGCTAAGAACAGTATCCCCAGTTCTAATACAACAGGCTTTATTCTGTTCTACAATTTTAATTCCATAAAATTGATAAAGGCAGTCACTCTATTCATTTTACAGAACATGAAGTATTTATTTTATGGACTCAAGTTGGAGTAACCAAAGAGGTTTGCACACAGTGACAGGATGCAGTGTTTGGGGCCCAGTTCTATTAGGCATTATAAATGCCCAAGATGAGAGTTGTAACCATGCAGAGTAGTGTTTTCTGAATATTTGGAAAGATTCTTCTGGTCTAGTACAAGATGGTAGAAGAGAGGGTTAGCCATCCTGGAGTATGAACTCGGCCTAAAACATTTCCAGTTTAGTTGATTTGTTGGAAGGACTTAACGTGGCAGGTGGAGAGGTCATCAGCAGCATCCCAGCAACTCCAAGTACAGGGAAGAAAGAAACGTACCAAACACACAAGGTGGATGGGGTATGGTGCTTGTTCTCATAACAGTAATAGCCAGCCTTCTAGAGCAGTGGCTCCTCAGGCAGCCATTCATACTTTATGTGTAGCATGCTTTGCAACAGTGAAGCTCCACATTTCCCACACCTCCATTTTCCTTACACTGTCTTTGCCCATTCTGCTTTTCCTCTTTCGCAATTCTTTTTGTGCTTTCCTTTTCTCTTTTGCCTCTGAATCCAAGATTTGGTGAGTTGGGTAGAGAAAGAGAGCTTCTGCATTTGTATAATTTCGCTTTGACTATAGCTTAAATGATTATAGAATTAGTATGTAAGATGACTTCTCCTTATACACCTATTATATCTAATGTTTATAATTCAGAAATATCTTGTGCCTTGAAGAATGGAATAAAATTGGCTGAGCTTGGATTCCTGTTGTGAAATGCAGGTGTGGAAATTCAAAACCATTGTTTACTCAGGCATCCAGTCTTAATCAAGTTAGAACATTTTACTTAAAATTAATATGATTAGGCCAGCCATGGTAGCTCAAACCTATAATCCCAGTGCTTTAGAATGCTGAAGCAGGAGGATCACTTGAGGTTGGGAATTTGAGACCAGCCTGGGCAATACAGCAAGACCCCGTGTTGCCCAGGCTGGTCTCAAATTAAAAAAAAGAAAAATTAAAAAATTAGTTGGGTTTGGTGGCCAGCGCCTGTAGTCCCAGCTACTCAGGAGGCCGAGGTGGGAGGATCACTTAAGCCCAGGAGGTCAAGGCTGCAGTGAGCTGTGATGTTACCACCGCACTCTAGCCTCGGCAACAGAGGGAGACCTGTCTTAAAAAAAAAAAAAAAAAAAATTAACATGATTAGCTTTGTTCACTAGGTGACTTTGTTTTGTTTTTTTAAACTAGGAAACATGTTCAACCAAATGGCAAAGTGGGTGAAACAGGACAATGAAACAGGAATTTATTATGAGACATGGAATGTAAAAGCCAGCCCAGAAAAGGGGGCAGAGACATGGTTTGATTCCTACGACTGTTCCAAATTTGTGTTAAGGACCTTTAACAAGTTGGCTGAATTTGGAGCAGAGTTCAAGAACATAGAAACCAACTATACAAGAATATTTCTTTACAGTGGAGAACCTACTTATCTGGGAAATGAAACATCTGTTTTTGGGCCAACAGGAAACAAGACTCTTGGTTTAGCCATAAAAAGATTTTATTACCCCTTCAAACCACATTTGCCAACTAAAGAATTTCTGTTGAGTCTCTTGCAAATTTTTGATGCAGTGATTGTGCACAAACAGTTCTATTTGTTTTATAATTTTGAATATTGGTTTTTACCTATGAAATTCCCTTTTATTAAAATAACATATGAAGAAATCCCTTTACCTATCAGAAACAAAACACTCTCTGGTTTATAAAACACCTTAATTCTACTGCTCTTTTTTCTCCAATCACCAGCATCTGTTTTTCAGGGGGTGATTTTACTTTTGTGAATTCCTTAGCCTTTCTTCCTTGGTGCATAAAGTTAAAATGCACATCAGCAGAATTGCTGCATATTAACATCTCAGGACTCTTCTCTTGTAAAGAAGCTGAAATTCGTACTATATTGGCCAAAGTGAGCGAGTTAGGTGATCTTGGTTTCAATTTCCGAGCCTTTGTTAATATGGAGAATTATGGTTCATATCAGTTATGTAGGACCTTTGGACCCAGGGTCCTACAGATAGATATGGTGTGCCCAGATTTTAAAAATACCTTCAAAAATAAAAAATACATTCAGTGACATTTTCATGGTGGGAGCTCTTCTTTCTGATATGGCAGTTACACTTTTTCACTTAAGTGCTTTAGTTTAGACTAACTTTACAACTTCTATAACTTTTGGAACCAAGTTTAGTATAGTCTGATTACATTCCATTCACCTAACTTTAGACATTCGTTTAGACACCATAACTGGAGTGATTGTGCTTCTAGATGTGGCAAATCCAGTGTTAACACATATTTCTGGCTGAGATTTTGGAACTAGCTAGTAACTGGCTTGTGTTCTTTAAGCATACTAACATCACTAAATCTTAGGATTTAGGATTGCTGTAAAGATGTAAGTTGTGTATGTTTGGCAGGTCACATTGAATGGCAGTGATAATGATTAATCAAAGAACAAATGTCATCCTTGATCTTGCCTAATGTAGTTTATGTGCCAAACTTTCCAGGGTTTTGTAGTCACCTAGATTTTAAGCTGATAGCATAGTGCTTCAGCGGTTCTTCTAACCGGGGTATGCAGGAACATGGCTGCAGACACGTTTGGGTAAACAGGCACCTTCTGACTTCTTCATTGTTTCCTGTAGTTCTCCCTCTTCCCACAAAGCTGTCAGCGCAGTGGAAGAGGTTGCACTTCTCCGAGAGAGGACAGGTTTCTGTTAAGATCACCAAGTAGCTGTGCTTTAATTAGAGCCAGACAAGCTTTCAAGGTCCTTTAAGTATTTGATGATCAACTGAACACGTTTCTATTCAAGGAGAAAACACCATTCAGTAAGAAGATGGAGTAGATATCAGATAAAACAATTCACGTTTAATATGTAAATGTACCAATTATGTGATTCAGTTTCAACTTTCAAGTACTTCCTGAGAGGTTAGTACATTATTATTGAGCTCTCACAGAAAGCTTAATCATAGATATAATTAACCTGATCCAAATGAGTAAAGTGGACCTTAGAAAGGCTAAGTGATCTTTCTCTGGCTATCCAGCTAGTAGTAATGAAGTCAGGTCTTGAACCCCGGTTCTGCTGACTGAATTGGATGCACTATAGTACAGGCTTTTAGCACCGAAGTGTGGTCCTCAGACCAGTGCCTGCCAACCAGATGTTACTGGTCTGTGAGGAAATAAGTACAGATACTGACAGGAAGCTTTTATAAACAATTTATTGGAGTGTTTTTGTTTCTGTTGGGTCTAATTAAAAAAATTGGAGCTTGTATTTTATGTGTCTTTGGTCTTATTTTGTCTAGGAATTCATTTTTGCTGGGTTTTTTTTTTTCAACTGTAGTCCCACAACAGTCTGAAAATAACCCAGTCACCAGATATCTTCCTCAAATACAGAGGGAGAACTTTCTTTCACGCCTCCTTTAGCCTGTCGACTCCTTATAATAATGCCTAAATATTCCAAATTAATACTGCCTCTTTAACCTGCTAATTGTTTTCACAATGTTACAAGAAAACTTGGATCTGTGCATTATCACCATCTAGTGGCTAAACTCAGGCAACACGAACTTCTACCAAACTCAGGAAATTGCTCTGGAAAAACTACAGGATTTTGGATTTCCAGAACTGCCTTGAAGAGACAAAGATTCTTGTACCAAGTTTTGGTCAACTGCAAATCAAAGAACTTGGTTATGCAGGGAAAACAAATGAGGATATCTGTACCTGGAACTTTTAAACAAGATTCTAATAGTTATGTGAAAAAAGCATTCAAGATTTTTGAGTAGGCACAGTGGCTTACGCCTGTAATCCTATCACTTTGCGAAACTGAGGTGGTGGAAGGATCACTGAAGGTCGGGAGTTCAAGACCAGCCTGGCCAATGTGGTGAAACCCCGTTTCTCCTAAAATTAAAAAAAAAAAAAAAAAGCTAGGGGTGGTGGTCCATGCCTGTAATCCCAGCTACACG
The DNA here is from genome assembly GCF_000001405.40 of Homo sapiens. Classification (NCBI taxonomy): domain Eukaryota; kingdom Metazoa; phylum Chordata; class Mammalia; order Primates; family Hominidae; genus Homo; species Homo sapiens. The sequence goes on from NC_000013.11 coordinate 77,003,206, forward strand.
TGAGGCTAAGGCAGGAGAATCACTTGAACCCAGGAGGCAGAGGTTGCAGTGAGCTGAGATGGCGCCACTGCACTCCAGCCTGGGCGACAGAGCGAGACTCCGTCTCAAAAAAAAAGCATTCAAGATTTTTCATTGTTCCTAAGAATCTTAATTAAATGAAGACAGAAAGCATCATAAAGTCAGGTAACTACAGCACAGACAGCATTAACATTTACAAAAGTATTTCTTAAGAATTAAACCTGTCAGCTCTACTTACAAGATGTAGAGCTTTCAGGTGAAGATGATTCAAGAACATGCTTTCAAAATAGTAGTTGAGAAACCAAAACATAGCCACGCAGAAATCTGCCAATTAAGTTTTGCTGCCCTTTGAGCAATATGACTTAATGTGATTTACTTTAATTATAACTTAAGTACAACTTAAATGCAGTTTCTATTTTGCTATTGTTATAGATGTAGGCTGGGTGCGGTGGCTTATGCCTGTAATCCTAACACATACTTTGGGAGGCCAAGGTGGACGGATCACTTGAGGTCAGGAGTTCGAGACCAGCCTGGCCAACATGGTGAAACCCCGTCTCTACTGAAAATACAAAAATTAGCTGGTTGTGGTGGAGCATGCCTGTAGTCCCAGCTACTTGGGAGGCTGAGGCAGGAGAATCACTTGAATCCAGGAGGTGGAGGTTCCCACGAGCCAAGATCGCACCACTGCACTCCAGCCTGGCAACAGAGTGAGACTCCGTCTCAAAAAAATGTTGTAGATGTATAAAATTTATACATTTTTAGTCTGACTAGGGCTTTAGAGTGAATATATCTCCTCATTAATCTGGCACAAAATTAGTTAAGTAAGTATACCCACAAAGTGTCATCTAATATATTGTTGCATGTAGAGGAAAACACAGTGAAGAAACCTACTAACTTTATTTGGAACCCTCAATATTGGTGGCTCCTTAAAAATTGGAGAAAAAAATCAAGTCTTAGGAAGTCTTATCCAGTTTTATGGTCTGCTGTGGTGGCACTTAATGAATTACCTGGAATTATAGTTCCTGTAAGATGTTTTATTTTTTAAATAGTTGGCAGGCTATACAAAGAGTGATGTTCCAAAACTACACACATGCTTTTTCCCTGTTCACAAAGGCAAACAGGCTGGCCAAAGTGTTTCCAGCATCTTCGTCATATTTACCCTTTATTATCCAAGTGGTTTCCTGCTCTTCAAACCTTCCTTTCAAAATTTTGTCTCCTACTTAAAACAAGTTAGGATTATTTATCCTTTTATTGGACTGATTATTCTAAGGATAAGCTCTTACTTCACTTTCGGAGTAAAAGGCTTTGTGCCCTTTTTAAAGTTGGGTGTCAGCAAGCAGCTGGAATTTTCCTGCCTGGTAAAATTAAAACCAGCCCCACAAACTGGGGTTGGAGTCTGTGCAAAGCTCATTACTATCTATGTGTGGGGTAGAAATTATAGTGTGTTAAAGGACCTAGTGTAAAAAAAAAAAATTTTAAAGGACCTAGTGGAGGCTTGAACCTTCTTCACATGAACGTCTTCCTTTCAGCCTAAAGTTCTTAAAATGCACTAAATTGACTTAATCTTCAATCATACCTATTTTTTCTGATATGGTTACAACAGCCCAAATTACCAAGATAAGTTGAAAGCCAGTAAAACAATGAAAATAATTTCAATAGTTGAAAAACTATTCTAATTTATATAAAGACATTTATCTCTAAAAAGACTGGTTGGGTTCAAGGACCCTTAAAGACTGATTCTATGTCTAAATAATCTGTTTTATAAGTTCTCATTCTGAATGCAGAAAGAACCTATTATTTTCTGTATAAAAATTTAAAAATTTATATTTCATGGTAGGTTTTAAATTTCCTATTTCTTTAGGCATCAGAGCTTATTTCAAGAATAGATTCCATGAGCCTAACCTTGTATCTTCAAAAAGGCGAGTCTATCATAAACATTGTTTAATATTAAATATTATATCCATCAAATATGGATTTGAAACATTTTTAAGTTTAAAGTCAAATGTTTGTGTAGTTTTTAAAAAGTAAAATACAACAGCATTAGTAACTTTTTATTCTCAAAGTGATAAAAGCATTTAACATATACTTTACAGTATAAACAAATTAAGTACTATGCATTTTGCTTATAAAGTGACAAAGTATTTTAAGCATTATATAATTCAATTTGTACAAAAAGTAAATTTCCAAATACAAGCTTTGGTTAGTAGAACTGATTATGTACTGTCAAATCCATTTTTCCAAAGTTGTTCAAGGAAAAACAACAACTTGACTAGCACAGGTAATTCTTGTACAATCAGAGCTTTTTACTATTTAGAAGGAGGGGATATATTACTATAATTGCTGTTAATTTTCGAATCTAGATAAGCCTTTTTTCTTCTCATATGTTGCTGTAGGAGAGCATATCATCACTTTTGGAAAGCAAAAATTATGTAGAAAATCACCTTTTGCTTTATTCTTAAGAAGGCCATCCGTTTTAAAAGTAGATCTAAGACTGTTAGCTTCCTCAACCACTGAGACACAATCTAAAAGTCACACCACTGAAAAGAGCCGCTTTAAGAATTAATGTATTCCACCGGGGTTAAATCATTTCTGATTTCCCTCAGGAGGGTAGTAATATCTACTAGCACTAGTGCCCAGCATCAAAGTTTATATCATCTTTTAAAACTCAACATTTTATAGACTCTACAATGCATGGATTACTTTTATTCATATGAAAGTAATATAAAATGTTACCTAACTTAAATAATATAAAATATCGGTTTAACCAAATTAACAATCACAAAACTGCAGACATTTTTCTATTAAAGTTTTCCAGTTCACTGAGCAATATTTACTGAAAAATATGATTATGAACTTAAATATGTCCTCTTTAAAATTTGCTGTTTATGCTAGACTGTACAATGGTGCTCCCTTTATGATTTTTAAAAATTTTACTTACATAACTATGTAATTCCAAAATAGAAAAGTGAGTGAGCCATCACTAAAATTTACTGGAAACTAATATTCTTTCATGGAAACAACTGATAAACATTTTAAAGTTCTATATTTATTTAAATTTGGCTTTTTAAAATAGGTAAGCTTTTCATTTCAATTATTGTTTAATACTTTAAAGCTAGTTTAAACAAAGATAAAACCAAGGAGAACTAGTAAAGCATTCCTTACTTTACATACAGTGCCTCAAGTGCCACATACATAATAACATATCACAAAAGAATGTATATGGTTTAGCAGATTACAGAGCAAACCTAAAAGTTTATACAAAGCTAAACACTGCCTCCCTTCTGTTCCATTTATTGTCTTTTAATTTGATCTTGGCTCTGTATTATCCTTCTATAATACCACTGTGTGACATCTATCAGTCTTCTAAGTGTTCTGATTACTTATATATACCTTTTTCTTTAAACAGCTTTGTAACATTTGAGAACATTCATCCAATCTTTTCCATTAGATATGATATATTCATTTTTCTCACAAAATGCTCACTTTCCTGAGCTATATTAAACACCTTATAACAGGTGTATGTGTAACTGAAGACCCTAAAATGTCAAGTTTACATTTTTTTTTAAATGCATAGAGAATATAACATTTCAGAAAACCTATTAGTACTTCTTGGATATTATAACATATAGGTTTTGTTTCCTTTAGACTGTAAACTGTTTAATACGTATAACTGGTTATTTCACATCCGAACCACATTAAAAAAAATTCGGAGATATGACTGCTATTACACTAAGGAAACAAGTGGAATTTTCTGACCAAAACTCATTCATGGGTCTTCCGATAAACAATCTTTACATATACTGACTGAAGATATCAAATTTCTGTGCCACAAAATAGTAGAATTATATCAGAACTACAGCAAATAAAACTTTAATTATAATACATTTGCTTGAAATTAAGGTGCTATTCATCATGCAGTTTTTACCAAGTGGGCATCATGTCGGGAAACCACACCCTACCAAGATGCTTGGACACTTCCCAGTGAATCTGCTCCAAACTATACTTTTGGTCAGGAATTAGTACTTCTTCCATAATGGATAATTGAGATAGGCGGCCACCACACATCTTCACAAACTCAACAAAGGCACTACATGAGACTTCACATTCCCCTAGTCCAATAGCTGACAAATTTTTGCAACGTTCTGCAATGCGAATTAACTCTTCATCAAGTGGCCGTAATCCATTTGCACACACTACTAGTTCAACCAGTCTAGGGCATGTCATTCCCACACGGCCAAGCACATCTTTGCTTACTGATCTCCCAAAGTACAGATGGGTGGCAGGTATTTCATAGCGAAAGAAGGGGTCAAATTCTTCTTCATATAAAAAAAAATACATCACTAAGTTCACTTTGGGTGAATGTCTGATGAAAGCATCCCAGCTACTCTTCTGAATAGTATGGAAGTGTGTCTGTCCAGGATTCTCACTGACTACATCAATGCGCAAATGTTCTAATCGAACATGTTTTTCAGAAGACAATGCAAGTAACAACTCATCACTCAATAAGTGGTAGTTCAGGGCTAGTTCTCTTAAGCCGTGACACTGATCAGCCACACAAAGGATACCTTGAAAGAAAAAAAAAATTATTTGCAAGTTTTTGTAAAAGTTTATCTGTTGAAAAATTCAATCAAGTACATGTCCCACAAAAGTTTGTCACAGTTCCCTTACCACAAAACTATATAATTTAAAATGTGCATAGTTGAATTAGAAGGGAAGTAACAAACATTTAAAATCTATTACTAATTTTGTCTACAAGAAAATGAAACCAATTCTAAATCCCATCTATTAAAAAGAAATAAAACTCAGTTAACTCTGTCATTTAAAAAATACACCATCACTAAGGTTAGGGCATTCCAGTAATGCACAGACAGTGCCATATTTTTAAAAAGTTATTACTAACACTAAACTTATAGGTTAGGTAATTACAGGACCACTGTGACGGAGGCCAAAGGACATTTTTTGAAGTTCAAAACCTAATCCTAATAAAAACAGAGTAAGATAGAACCATATAAAACTATGAATTAGGTAATGAAAGAAAACATTTACAAACTAAAGATTCTATCAAATGATCAAGTCTAATTGCTAATAGCATATAAGCAGCTTATTAAACTTATAAGAAAAAATACCAAGATATCACTAAGTATGTCAAAAATAACTACTCAATTCACATTAATGGAAATATTCATTATGACTTTCGAAGCTCTAACATACCTAGAAAGCAGTTCCCTTAGATGATTCCCTATACTTAGGGTGCCATGCTTTATAACTTACCAAAACTATCATCCTAGCAACAGATGACATTGCAAAGGTCAATGTTTGATCTCTCTGTAAGAGTTCTGTTTTTGTTTTCAGTCAGTCTCACCCTGTAGCCCAGGCTGGAGTGCAGTGGTGTGATCTCAGCTCACTGCAGCCTCTGCCTCCCGGGTTCAAGCAATTCTCTTGCCTCAGCCTCCTGAGTAGCTGGGACCACAGGCGTATGCCACCACGCCTGGCTAATTTTTGTATTTTTGCTGGAGACAGGGTTTCACCATGTTGGCCAGGATAGTATCGAACTCCGGACCTCAAGTGATCCACCCATCTTGGCCTCCCAAAGTGCTGGGATTACAGATGTGAGCCACTGCACCCGGCCTACTATAAGAATTCTACCCCAAAGAGGCACCTTATATTACCTGGTAAGTTACCCATTCAATCCATTTCTTCCTTATGTTTAGAAACAGGGATAGGAACAAGAAAACATACACCGTATTTTCATCTATTTATTGTTACAAGTATGATGTGCCAGGTACTAGATGTTATCCCACAAATAATTTTAAAAATCTGGAAAAGTATTATTTCTACTTTGAAGTGGAGACAGCTAGCTAAAAATAGCAAAGCTGCAATACAAACACAGGCTAAGTGACTCTTATGTCCATGCACTTAACTACTGCTTCAGAAATGACAAGACAGAGGCCACCAATAAGCCATAGCTTTATAACAGTGGGAAAAGATAGGCATTAGAATTATCAGAAGAGATAAACTGAATTACCAGAATGAGTCACCAGAAAAGAGAGTAATGTCTCAGTATTCAGCAACCACAAAGTTTCTGTTTTCCGCAAAGTAGGTATATACTTTATTTTTGTTTTGAGATGGAGTCTCGCTCTGCCACCCAGGATGGAGTACAGGGGTGTGATCTTGGCTCACTGCAACCTCCGCCTCCCTGGTTTAAGCAATTCTCCTGCCTCGGCCTACCAAGTAGCTGGGGTTACAGGCACACGCCACCACGCCCGGCTATTTTATATACTTTGAAATATACTCTAATTACTCAAGGTAACCTAAGCACATCTCCGTTCCGATACCATCTCACGCCAGTTAGAATGGCAATCATTAAAAAGTCAGCAAACAACAGATGCTGGAGAGGATATGGAGAAATAGGAACGCTATTACAGTTAGCGGCAGTGTAAATTAGTTCAACCATTGTGGAAGACAGTGTGGCAATTCCTTAAGGATCTAGAACTAGAAATACCATTTGACCCAGCAATACCATTACTGGGTATATACCCAAAGGATTATAAATCATTCTACTATAAAGACACATGCCCATGTATGTTTACTGTGGCACTGTTCACAATAGCAAAGACTTGGAACCAACCCAAATGCCCATCAATGATAGACTAAAGAAAGAAAACATGGCACATATGCACCATGGAATACTATGCAGCCATAAAAAGGGATGAGTTCATGTCCTTTGCAGGGACATGGATGAAGCTGGAAACCATCATTCTCAGCAAACTAACACAAGAACAGAAAACCAGACACCGCATGTTCTCACTCATAAGCGAGAGTTGAACAATGAGAACACATGGACACCGGGAGGGGAACCTCACACGCTGGTGCCTGTCGGGAGTTGGGGGGCTAGGGGAGGAATAGCATTAGGAGAAATACCTAATGTAGATGACAGGTTGATGGGTGCAGCAAACCACCGTGGCACGTGTATATCTATGTAACAAACCTGCATGTTCTGCACATGTACTCCAGAACTTAAAGTATAATAATAATTAAAAAAAAACACACAGACATGGGAAATGGTAGCTAACCATTCAAATGAAAGAAACTGTGGAGTATCATTTAATAACTACAAAAGCAGTTGTGGCAGGCGTAATTCTCAAAATGGCCTCCAAGATCCCACACCCTAATGCCTAGCATCTGTGAATTCCATAAGATATCATGCCCATGATTATGATATATGGTACAGCTGAGCATATAAAAGATTATCTGGATGGTCCTAGTCTAATCATATGAGCCCCTTTTAAAGCAGTTTCCTCTGGCTGATTGCAGAAGAGGAAGTCAGAGAGATTCAAAATGCAAAGGGGACTCAATGTGTTATTGCTGGCTCTAAGCTAGAGGGGGCCAAAAAAGAAAAATCACAACCAGCCTCTAAGAGCAGAAAGACCCCCTAACAGCCTCCTGCTGACAGCCAATAAGGAAACTGGATGTCAGTCCAACAATCACAAGGAACTAAATTCAGCCAATAACTTGAATGAGCGTGGAGGTGGATTCTTCTGCAGAGCCTCCAGGTAAGAGCCCAGCCTTCCTGACATTTTCCTCTCAGCCTTTTAAGATTTTAAGCAGAGAAGCCACTTGAGCCCTAACTACAGCTCTAATGTACAGAACAGTGGAGCAAATAAATGGGTGTTGGTTTAAGCTGCTTTGTGTATAGCTGTCAGTTATGTACCAGTAAGAACATAGTTCCAAGTATTTAAAAACATAACACAGTGACAAAAGTAAAATAAAACTAGGGCACTATTACGACTCAATAAATTAAGACAAATAACCCAAATTAGAAAATAGGCAAAGGGGCTGGGTGCAGTGGCTTACACCTGTAATCCCAGCACTTTGGGAGGCCAAAGCGGACGGATTGCCTGAGGTCAGAAGTTCGCGACCAGCCTGGCCAACACGGTGAAACCCCATCTCTACTAAAAATACAAAAATTAGCCGGATGTGGTGGCGGGCACCTGTAATCCCAGCTACTCAGGAGGCTGAGGCAGGAGAATCACCTGAACCCGGGAGGCGGAGGTTGCAGTGAGCCGAGATCAATGCCACTGCACTCTCCAGCCTGGGCAACAAGAAGGAGACTTTGTCTCCAAAAAAAAAAAAAAAAAATAGGCAAAGGATCTGAATAGACATTTCTCCAAAGAAGATATACAAATGGCCAAGAAGCACCATGAAAAGACAGTCAAGGTCAGGCACGGTGGCTCTCGCCTATAATCCCAGCACTTTGGGAAGCTGAGGTGGGAGGAACACTTGAGCCCATGAGTTCGAGACTAGCCTAGGCAACCAGGCAAAACCCCATCTCTACAAAAATTACAAAGTATTAGCCGGGCATAATGGCGTATGCCTGTGGTCCCAGCTACTTGGGAGGCTGAGGTGAGAAGATCGTTTAAGCCCAGGAGGTCCAGACTGCAGTAAGCCAGGATCACGCCACTCCACTCCAGCCTGGGCGACAGAGTGAGACCCTGTCTCAAAAAAAAAAAAAAAAAAGATACTCAACATCATTAGTCAACAAGAAAATGTAAATCAAAACCACAATGAGTTTACACCCCCTAGCATGGCTATAATCAAAAAGACAAATAAGTGTTAGAAGACACTGCTAGTGGCTATGTAAAGTGGTACACAGCAGCTTTGGAAAACAGCCTGGCATTACCTCAAATGGGGAGTATGATCACTAGGTATGTACCTAAGAGAAATTAAACCATATGTCCGCACAAAATTTGTACATAAATGTGCACAGCAGCATTATTCATAAGTCAAAAGGTAGATTTCCATTTATATGAAATGTCCAGAACAGGCAAATCTACAGAGACAGAAAATAGATTAGTGGTTGTTGAGGGATGGCTGGGATGGAGGTTTTGGGGGCAACAGCTAAGAGGTATGTGGTTTCTTTTTAGAATAATAAAAGCATTCTAAAATTGTGGTGATGCATGCACTACTCTACCAATACACTAAAAATCAATAAATTGTACATTTTAAATGAGAATTGTGAATTATATGCCAATAAAGCTGTTAAAAAATTGGTGATTAGTGGTGGTACTATAAATTCATACAACTCATTTGGAAAAAAAAAATATGGCAAAAAGCACAAAGACCTTTGTCCTAGGACTTCCACTTCTTAAGAATGTACCCTAAGGAAGAAATTAATACAAGCAAACTGCTATAAGCCAATTTTTTTTTTAATCACAGCAAAAAAGGTAAAAACAAGTGTCCAACTTTAGAACTATAATGCAATGTTGGCTTTATAGGGAACTAAGTAACTAAATGTTCATTAGTTCAACCTGATAATTAATATTAAGGAAGCAACAGGCAAACTAACCTAGAGGTCCAGTTACAGACAATTATAACAACTATAGGAAATGAAAGAAAATTGATTAAATGTTCAGTGAGGAAAGTAGAATACAGTCCCTAATTTCAACTTAGAGAAACTGTCCAAATATGCAAAAGATAGATAGAAAATATGAAAATATGAAATTTCAACTGAAATCTTATGTGGTTATGCTCTTCAAATAGAAAGTATTACAAGTGTTCTTTCTTTTTTTTGAGACAGAGTCTCGCTCTGTTGCCAGGCTGGAGCACAGTGGTGCGACCTCGGCTCACTGCAACCTCCGCCTCCCGGATTCAAACGATTTTCCTGCCTCAGCCTCCCAAGTAGCTGGGACTACAGGCGTGCACCACCATGCCCAGCTAATTTTTGTATTTTTAGTAGAGACGGGCTTTCACCATGTTGGCCAGGATGGTCTGGATCTCTTGACCTCGTGATCTGCCTGCCTCGGCCTCCCAAAGTGCTGGGATTAACAGACGTGAGCCAACGTGCCCAGCTGTATTAAAAAGTATTCTTTCTCTTCCCTTCCCTTCCTGAAGAACTAGTCCAAAAGTCATTATGAAACCAACTTTGCAAAATTATGACCGTGAAAGAAATCAGACCTAACCGACCCTATCTTGCTTCTAACCCTTAAGCTGCCCTGGTTCATTCCTGGGCATAGGCCGAATTAACTTTGGGAAGGAATTCGGTTCACGGTTTGACTCTGAAACAAAACTGGTAACCGCCGTTTCACAAAAAGACCCCTCCTTCTTGCCGGGGTCCAGTCTGCCTTTGCAGGACTTCCAAACTAGCTACAAGATTAGAAATTACAATGTGGGGGTCATGAAGCCTCTGGCTCCAAGAGTCTGAACCTCCCCAAATTGCTCCTGGCAATAACATGATTATTGTAAAACCTAAGAACAGTGCTTGAGATATTTTGCAAACCCTGCACTAGATGGATCAGCTGACACCATCCAGACTGGTAATCTGGGCCAACTGGTTCTGCCATGGCACCTAGGAACAGAAGACATTAAGAAAACCTAACTCTGACCCCTTATAATTCCATCTCCAAACTGACCAATCAGCACTTCCCAAGCCCCTACCTGCCAAATTATCTTTAAAAATTCTGATCTCCAAATGCTCGGGAAGACTGATTTGAGTAATAACAAAACTCTAGTCTCCCACACAGCCGGCTCTGCGTGAATTACTCTTTCTTCATTGCAATTCCCATCTTGATAAATCGGTTCTGTCTGGGCAACGGACAAGGTGAACCCATTGGGCGGATCCCACAATTAAGTGGGATCAAGTAAGCTTATACTATACTATCAGAACTGTTGTGTATATTTAATAAAAATGAATGAACACAGAATATACCAGAATAAAGAGAACTATGAACTCACAGTTTTATAGAGAAATCAGAGACATAAAGACTCATACAATGTGTTAAATGCTAGCAATAAAGTTCACAGTGTTCTGGAAATACACAGGTAGGAAATCTCAACCAGAAAGGAGAAGTTCCCTTCTCCTACGTTGACAGGCAGGTCAACAAAGATCACATCTGAGCTGAATTCTGAAGCCTGGGCTGGCTGGAGTTAGCAAGGGGAAGTTAAAACATTTGAGCAAGTATTCCACAGGGTAAAGTGTACTGAGCAACCACAAACAAAGGTAACAAACAAAAATCTGTAGTTCCATAGGACCCAAGTAAAAGCTCCACGTGAGTGACCAGCAAGAGACAGGTGGAGGTCAAGATACAAAAGGACCTTGTACACTATGAAGCCAGGAAGCACAGACTTTACTCTGAAAGCAGAGCTATACAGTAAATATAAAAATGTAATCAAGGTCATATAAGAACTAACTGCCAAAGCCTATTCTTAACTTCTGTTTTATAACAGGCAGTGGTAATCTGTAAGTGGCAGAGAGGGCTAAGAAAATACAATAGACCTAGCCATTCTCATCACCAGGAGTCTCCTGTGGGAGAAAAGAGAATGAGCAAGGAGACTTGGGAGAATGAGCAAGCAATCTCCATCTAAAATGGAATCATTTCTTAGGAGAAGGCTGACCTTTGGCAATGGCAAGAAGGTTGGAAGTGTTTTTGTAAAGATCAAAGATTTGTCACTATACCTTAAAGAACAGGTTTCCCAAATAACACAGCTAAAGGATCAGCAAACATGTCAATAGTGGGAGGAGTCAGAAATTAAACAGCAGACAGTAGTATAATACAGTAGTAGGGTTTATACTCTCTTTTCAATACAAACCACCTGGAATTTAAGTAATCTCAAACTGAATAATGTAGTAATGCTCAGAAAATCCTATATAAGAGAAACTGGAAAGAGCTATTATAATGCTCTTCTTGCATTTGATGGGTTCTTGGCTCCAAAATTCAACTTAGGAAAAACATCATCTTGCAAAATCTAAGGCTACCACTTAGTACAACTTAGTTGTACAACTTAGTACAACTCTTCTCCCTCTACATAGTGAGAAGAAAAGCAATTATGTGACTGCTCTGACTCAAAATCTACCCTATTAGCTCAACTACAATGAGAAAAAACTCTACTGTAATTAATGGAGCACCTCAGGCTGACCTCATACTGTCCTTTCCTCTTTTTTTTCCTGTTCATTTTCTAGCATGTGCTATTCATAAATTTATCAAATAAGATTAGAAAATAAGCTGAAAGTCAGTGTCTAGGCTAGTAACCCTACAGAACTTATGCTATTCTATTACTACATTAAAAATATTTTAAAGAGATGAAGCAGTCATATTAATCCACCTTCAAGGTTAATGATCATAGTTTTTTCTAATTTGAACATAGCAATGCATTTTACTAAAATGTGTCTAGCAAAAAACACAACATACCTGCTGGAGAGACATGAGGACAGCTGCTCATTTTCAACAGCTTGAGTGTATCACTATTGTTGGCCACTAGTACTTTGAGAGATGGATCATCTACTGGAGTATCATCTATCTTAAGCGAAGACAGGGATTTGGAGTTTACGAACACAACTGTCAGTGCAGAGATAAAGTGAGACTGAAAAGCAAAAAAAATAAAATAAAAATTATTTCAATTTTTAGAAATGAGAATCAAGGGGTTTCCTAGTACTACAGTTTATCTGAACCATAATGACATATTAATATTTTGTAAATGTTTTAGGGGTGGCATCCCTTCACTCTGTTGTTGGGAATATGGTAAAAATAGGTGACTATCTGTCATCTTTGAGAAGAGTCTATTTATGTGTGGGGGAAAAAAGCATTTCAAGCCTCAGGATAAGTGTCTCTAAATCAGAGAAACCACTGGTAAGTAAAAAGAGGAATTCTGGAACCCAGGATGAGAATCTCTCTCAGACACTTCATTTTGCCATATCTGGAAACCCTAGTGTTCTATAACACTAAACTGCATTTCTTTTCTGTTTGATAGTTATGACCACTAAATAGTAACTATTAACACCATCATTAAAAATTAATAATTTATTCAAAATCTATGACAGACTCATTTGAGATATGAAAACTCATAGAAAATTTGATTATAAAACAATCAAAATAATACTTAAAATTCCAAGTTTAAAACTCCTTCAAATGTTATCTACAATATTTTCAAGTCTTCTATTTTAATGTATTTTGATCCACAAAAGCACCAATGAGTATCATTCATCATATATGTATATATTTGTATGTATGTACATATGTGTATATACACACATACACACACACACGTTATATATCTGTTGGACAGGATTTGATCTAAAGGAATCAATGTAGGCAAACAGGAATTAAAGCATTCTCAAAGTATGCAGCTCTCAATCGGAGCTAAGATATGAGTTGAAACCACTGGGCAAAGAATCTAGGAGAGTAAAGAAAGGCTAATACATGGTCTAACACATTCCTCTCTACAAAACCAACTTCATGCTCCAGTTAAGCTTTATAAATTCTCTACAGGAGTGAAAAAGGATAAGGGCAGGCTAAGAGCCAAGAAAGTATAATGAAACATTACTTTTTTTTTTTTTTGAGACAGAGTACTGTTCTTGTCACCCAGGCTGGAGTGCACTGGCACTCCTTAGCTCACTACAACCTTGAACTCCTGAACTTAAGCAATCCTGTTTCATCCTCCCTAGTAGCTAAGACTATAGGTGTGAGCCACCATACCCAGCTAACTTTTTTTTTTTGTAGAGATGGGTCTTGCTATGCTGCCCAGGCTGATCTTGAACTCCTGGCCACAACAGAACCTCCTGCCTCGGCTTCCCAAAGTACTCCAATTATAGCTGTGAGCTACCACACCCAACCAAAACACTACCTTCTTGATCACAATTCCCTAATTTACTTTTTCCCTACTGTGATTAAACAACTGGTTAACTAGATTTTGATAAACTATTTAACTACTTAAATGTTAATATTTTTCTCCTAATATTTTCATATCAAACTCAATTATATCTTGTACAAACATATTTCATTTGCAGTCTAATGAGTGCATCACTGACGTCTTTCCCCATTTCCCCAATTTAGCTCTGGACAAAAACATTTCTTCTATGTTCTCTTCAGTTCTCTTGGGATTTCCAAAATATTGCAACGCCCTACTTCAATCTTCTACCAAAGCCATAAAAGGAAAAGAAAAAAAGAAAAACAGTTATTAAGTATCCTAGCCTCACTTAATAAGGGAAGAAGCATTCTTTCCATTAGCTCCATTCATGGTTCCCAAATTAGTACTAGATATATGCATAGTGATAAGAAAAAAAAGAAAATTAAATTATGTTCAACATATCCTTTAATATGGTATACATACATACCATATGAGTCAGTATGTATATTTGTATTTTAGCTATGGTAGGTACACTAAAAATCAATTCAGATTGTTTCATTTCCTATTTGAAGCTTGAAGGTGGCGCTATACCATGTAACTAGTATTTCTTAGCGTGAGTTCCTTTAACCATCTTAATCAGAATCACCTGGACTGCTCACAGGAAGAGAAGACTTAGAATCACCCCGAATTTGAAAAAGGGATAGAAATCCAAAATTTAGGAGGCTATTCAGAAGATTTTTACACATTAAGTCGGAGTACCACAATGATCTTTCTGTACTTAGGATCTTAAAATATTAAGATAATCAGATTCTCCTGCCCATTTCCCTTATTTTATATGTGAAGAAAAACATTTTATCTCAAAATATACATATGTAATGAAAATGTTTCAAAATCAATTAAGACTTTGACATCAACTGGTGATTTATTTGGTACAGACATTCCACTGAAACGACCACTTGGGTTAATATATTCAATTTAGTTATATTCCCTCCTCAATCATCCTAGTACATTAAACTACTAGATACTTAAAAGGGTGTCTATATTTTAGTTTTCAGTGTCTTCTGGGAAAAAAATATCAAATTATTGTTGGATACTAACCTATTAACCATTAGCTAACATATTCAGACACCTTTACCAGTTGCCTTTCTAAAAATGCACCCTTCTTATTTTTGTATTTTAAGAGAATAGTTGTGAGAGAGAGACACGATCTCTGATTATATGCAGGATCATGTTAGAATATATATAAGAATATATGTTAACTTTTCACCCAAAGAAAGGATGTCTTTAAGTCTGTAAATTAATCTAAACTGTGCTGAGACTAACTTTGGTCATGATTAAATCTTTCCAGAACATTTGCCAAAAGATTTTAGAAGCTATACCTGCTCTCAATATTGGCACTCTACTTTTCTTTGATTCTAACTTCACCAACCTGCTCTGGAAGCCCCAAAATGAGTATCTATGTGTCCCTTTTTTTCTAATATGCTTGACTCTATTTTACTTACTGAATTTCTTTTAATACTTCCTATAGACGCCTCTGTAAATTTCTTTAACCATACCAATTTAGAAGTATGGTGATTTAAAAAAAAAAAAAAAAAAGCTTAAAAAAATACTATTTATTTTCATCCTAAATAGTAACTGGTTTTCCATTATGTATATATATAACTTTCCTTATACTCACACTGTCAATACAAAAAAAAAAGATTAGACTTTCACTGAATTTCTCAGTAATAGATAATAAAACAAAAACAGCAGATACCTTTGGTAAATCCATAAAGCTTGGTCGAGCAGTTGAAATAAGTCCAAGTGTTTTTAAAGAGCAATTCACAAGTTGCGATAGTATATCACAAGCTGCTTCAGCTGATTCCTTGCTGCTGTCCACCTTAGAAAAGAAACACCGTTTACTCATGAATATTTTATTATTTTTTTACTTTTTTCCCCAAATACCCAGACTTCAAGATTACTCATGTATATATTTATATTTCTCTGTACACATATTCATTTTATAGAAGTATCATTACTAGTTTATTGCATTATAACTTAAAGAATATTCTTTCAATCATCCACCCTCCACCCTCACCTCCAACTTGGCCTTTTCTAAGTCTCTCTGAAAAAGTATAAGGGCAATTGTCAAGACAAGACCTAGCTTTCATTATGATAAGAGACATATTTAATGTTGGCTTTTACACTGATTTATTCCAAAGTGACTGTATAAACTAATGGAGTAAATCAATTTATAGTCTTTAAAAAATAATTATGTATTTGGTAGTGGATCACATAATAGATGTAAATACAGTGTCTATGGTATGCAATAAAAACTAAGTATTTACTCAAAATGTTCACGTGTATCACAACCTGGGATTCATCATTAATGTTATTAATGGAAAGATGTGAAGTAAAATGAGTGTACTGGACCAGTCAGGCATGAAAATCTAAACTAAATAAGATGTAGCTATTCTCACACATACTTCTGCAAAGACATTTCCTAAGGGAAGGATAAAGGGCCAAAAAATCCCTCAAGGATGTAAAAAGGAGTTCATCCATCAAAAAGTTAGTTGTTTCCTGGGAAGCACCTTAAAACAGTTAAAAGGATATTATTAATTTCCAGATTCATATACACTACTTTATCCCAAAAATGTTAAGAGTGGATTGTAAAACTAATGTGCTAATTATATTAGTTTCAGAGCTACTTATAGATAATATGTGGTCCCTGAGACTAGCAGCATCAACATCACCTGGGAACTTAAATGGGAACAAATGTTCATACCCAACCCAGACCATCTGAATCAGAAACTGTGGGGGTGGGACCAGCAATTTTTGGCTTTACAAGCCCTTCAGGTGATTTTGATGCACATAAAGTTAGAGAACCACTCTTCTAGACTAAAAATTCTAACTATAAGCCTCCTTGGTCTATAATCAGTGAAGACTATCAGGAGAGCCCAGAAGAATCCTGTGATGTGACTCTTTTTTGTAAATCAGAAATTATTTCCTCAGGAAAATTAAAAAAAAAACCCTACTAAAAATGTTCAACTTTTGCACAAATGATTTTATGAGGGTTATACTAGATACACCTGAATTGTATCACAGGGCTATAAAAATGACCCAGCAAATCTACTAGGTGGAACTGGACTTTAAGACCTATCAGAGGAATGTATTTGTATTATACTCATCTTTGTATACAATTTACCATTAGAACACTCTTACACAATTCAAAGATAACTAAAACCAAACAGAAACCTCTTTAGCCTTCTTCCCTGGGGGTATGGGGATGAGTCCTGAATTTTTGTTTGATCCCCCTACCTTTGCCCCCAGTTAGGATCGCAAGATAATATACTAGACACCAATTAAGTTTCAGGTAAACAACAGATATTTTTTAGCATTAAAGATGTCCTAAACATTAAAAGGGATGTAACTATACTAAAAATTATTCATTGATTATCCGAAATTCAAATTTAAATACTCATCTTACATTTTTATTTGTAAAACCTGGCAATCAGTGGCCTAAGCGCCTTTGTGCAGTTTTCTGGGAAAAAAAAGGCAAAAACATATCCAACCATTCCCACCACCAATTCTCTCCTCCTCCTTGGACAGACATGGGAGAATAAGCAGGTAATCTCCACCTAAGAGGAAATTACATTCTTCGAGGGAAGACAAGATTTTAGTTATGGCCAGAAGCTCTGGGTTAAGAACTACTGTTCTGCCTAGGTTTAGCCTGGACTATTCAGCAACTGCTTGTGTCCAGATAAATCAAGTATTCATGCATTGTTTTTTTTTTTCAATAAGTTATTTGCTACCACAAAATCTGGTGTTTAAAGATCCAGTAAACATGTCCATATTTCATTATTCATCACCCAAACAAAACATGACAAGCCTCACACAAACCACTGTGATTTTTTATTTTTTTAAATAGAGACAGGGTCTCGCTCTGTCACCAAGGCTGTAGTACAGCTGCACAATCATAGCTCACCACAACCTCAAACTCCTGGGCTCATGCAATCTTCCCGCCTCAGCCTCCTGAGAAGCTGGGACTATGGGACTACAGGTACCCACATCCAGCTATGATTTCTTAAATTATTCTGGATATCGCAAAAAGCCACCCACTTCATTTATCTCATCACTGCATGATTTCCAATACCTTCCTTCCAGCAACAAAAAGAAATAAACAGTTCCCTTTGGCATTCTCCCATGTACCTTTTTCTATTTCTCTCTAAAATATATTCATCTAAATCTTCTACATAAAGTTTCTATGCTTCCTTTTCATCTGAAGATCCCATTTCAAAAAGCCATCAGTAAGTAACACTAAGTTCCTGTTAGATAGAAATAGCAATTAAGCTCTACTCAATTATAATCTCCCAATTTTTATTTTATTAGATATTTCTTCTTCCTCAAAATCGTTCACAATAATTCAATGTAATTCACAGCTTTATCAATGACTTATGCTTATTTAGTGGCTGCTTTTGCTGTTTTAAGAAATTATTAATAATTAATAGAGTAATTTAGCTCCATCAAATATAATATTTTGTGACAGCTTCTAAGGTATACAATAATTCTAAATTTTTAAGCATTTTCCCTGAAAAAGCAAATATTTTAAAGGCATGAGAAGATGTACTGGTTTAGGAAACAAAGCCACTAAAAATACTTTATTTTTTAAAAGAAGGATTTAAAATATTACCTTGAAGCTGACATATTGTAGATGGTTTGAATGTCTTTTAATAATCTGTTTGATCAGCTCTGGATGGGTAGCTTTCAAATAAGATGTAGCTGGCTGATTCAGTTCAAATTCAAAACATCTCCACAAGTCAGGCATGTGAAATACCTGGTTCCAGTTGCGGCAAACTTGTGAAGCATGAGCCCGGTCAAGAAGAGGCAAATATTTAAATACTTGGAGAATAATGTCCTGAAGGAGATTACCCCAATCACAAGTCTGAGAATGCTCATTTGTAGTCCTCAGTTTCTTGGATTTCTCTGCAGTTCCTTCTTCTGATGAATTACGGTCACTATCTCTTCCTCCTCGTTTCATCCTATTCCGAAAAATGCATCAGTTTTTTTCCTACTCAACTTTTGAATAGAAATAAACTCAAAATTCATTCTTCTGTCACTGAGATGTGTGTTTATATACACAAACATGCAGGAAAAACTGGATCAGTAATTCAAGAATACCAAAACAAACTATTATGAAAAATGCCAATGAAGGCCAACAATGGTTTTATAAATTTTACACTTTTTTGGCATGTTTTTAAACATCTACATTTATCAGTATAATATACAGTATATACTACATGGGAGAGAGTATTATGATTTTGAAACTATGCTAAGAATTTATATTTCAAAAGTTGTGGTCAACTTAACTAAAATGAATATAAAAGGGAACCTACAGCGATACTTTGTAAAGGTTTCTTAAAAGTCATCTAAGGATATTTGTTCTTGAATTCCAGGCCAACCAGGGTCCCAAGAACCTCCAGAGAGGATGTTCCACATTTAATAGTCTATACAGGGGTCCTGTGGTTCTGGCCTGAGGACCAGAACTGGGCCCCATAGCAGGAAGTGAGCAAGCTTTACAGTCTGAACTCCTCCTCCTGTCAGATCAGCAGCTACATTAGATTCTCATAGGAGTGAGAATCTTATTGTGAAATGTCCACATGAGGGATCTAGGTTGTGCGCTCCTTATGAGACTCTTAATGCCTGATGATCTGAGGTGGAACAGTTTCTTCCTGAAATCACCCCCTGCCACGGACAGGCACTGGGCTATGCTATGTGTTACTGCCAGACATTTCTTAACTCCGCCTAAAATAAGCAAAACCACCCCTACTATGAATTGTTTGGTCTGGAATGTAGCTGCTTCTTCAAACACATCACTTAATATTGCACTGTTTTCCCCAAGTTGTGTTTCTGAATTATACCTATTTGTTTATTCTATGTATTCTTAGCACTTTCATTCCATTAGTTTCTTTGAAAGATAGTTTTTTCATGGCAAAACAGTATTATGGCTAAAGAGAATGGGCTCTGGAACCAAGCTCCTTGGGTTTGAATTCTGGCTCTACCTCTCACTGGCTATGTGGCTTTGAGCAAATTACTTGATATTCCTGTGCTTAAATTTCCAAAATTAGTTTAATAAAACAGGGTTTCTGTGAGAAATGCAATACTATTAAGGCTTTTCAAAGGGGAGATACGACTGTTGAACTGTTGAGATATGACTGTTGTGTAGGAAAGCAGTCCAGCATTAACGACATTAAAGTACACAACATGCTAAAAACCAGGGTTACTACCCAGAAGGCAGAGAATGATTCATTCATTCATTCCGTTCACTCATTCATTCATTCCGTTCACTCATTCATTCAAGATGGGGTCTCGCTCTGTCACCCAGGCTGGAGTGCAGTGGCACGATCATGGCTCACTGCAGCCTCGACCTCCTGAGATCAAGCAATCCTTCCACCTCAGCCTCCAGAGTATCTGCATGCACCACCACACCCGACTCTATTTTTGCTTTAAAATGGAGAGAGAGAGAGTGTGTGTGTGTGTGTGTGTGTGTGTGTCAGAGAGACAGGGCAAGTGAGCTTGTGTACGAGAAAACACACCCTGGAAGTAGACTCACTGAATTATTATAGTAACCAACAGTAGACGGCAGATTACAGGTAATTTTTTTTTCTTGCAAACATCTCTTCCCTTTTTATGTTTTACACATTTTCTTTTACTATCAATGCATTACCGTGTAATCGGACTTTTTGGAAAAGTATAGCAGGCTCTAAACTAAATGGCTGCAGACCACTCACTGGTAGTTACTTAGTTCAGAGCCTGTAATACTTTTGTTTCTAGAGAACAGTTCTGGCAGGGTAGTGGTTTCGACCTAAACTTGGGGTCACAATCTTTCAGAAAGATGGCTTGTTGCTCCAACACTCCTCTGGCCTATCAGCATAAAAGAATTTCTCATTCCTGTGTGAGATGAAGGATATGCATATGCATTACTGTAAAACAAATGTTTCTGCAGACTTTCTCCACCCAGTACCTCGCAAAACTTGTGAAAGAGGATTGAGGGCTGGAGAGTAAAAAGAGAATGGCAGAGGCCTCTGACCTTAATGCCATGAAAGTCAGTCAAAGACGTCTTAGCATATGTGCAATAAACTGCCTATTCTTCACTGCTCCTATTCCCAACTATGTGAATAAAATATATTACGTATACCCTACTGATCAGGGAGAGAACAAGAGAGAAAATAGAATGACAGAGGTGACAGCAAGAAGGTAGTCTGATGGAAGACTGGAAATTATGTGTGACTTGAGATTAGTTTTTTTTTAATAAGTTTAGAGAAAAGTGTATAGTCTACACTGTAATCTTTAATATTAAGTCTCTTCTAATAATAATCCCTCACTAGAGGCTGAGATAACACTGTTATTATGACCCATTTTTCTGCTTTAACTTACCCTGAAGGCTTACTTTAATTTTAGTATATAAAATTTGGGTCAAAGAACAAAGTGTTTGCTATCCAGAGCTTATAATTTCTCTTCTGACCACCTAAAACTACTCACAATTTTGAGATACAGAGATTCAAAAAAGAATGACAGTCTTTGCAATTTCTACACCTTATTATAGAATACTGATTGCCTGTTTCTGGAGAACAATCTTCTAAAACCAGAACTAGACAACTTAAAGACGGAATGATTCATTTTACTTTAGAGTATATGGATATATAAACAAAAATAAAATGGTAGCCTTATTCACATAATAGTCTTTGCTAATAAATACTTTGCTGGTCCTAAAAATAGAAACTTTCTTTTGTCTATTATAGTACTGTTTTAAATAAAATGTACTTAAATACCTTTCCAAGTTCAGGTTAAAGAAGTTGACAAAATTTTTTTTAACAGTATGCAACACTAAGGGACAGTATCTCTTGATCTAGATATAAAAACACTATATGATCACCAAAGCCTATTTTAAGAACTTACCAGTTTACAAATAGCTGAATTAAGTCTGTTAATTGTCATACGTAATATGTCTATGTTACAATTATAGTGCATTAAGCAATTGAAAAAAATGTAAGGCCAAATTCCAATAAAAATATCCTCTGCACTATCCTCATTTGTGCATGAAAATAACAGAAGTGAGTGGACACTTAAAATTTTAAATGTCAATTTTTCCAAGTTGATTTCATTTATGTATGAAAAAATTTACACTACTTTAATAGTATCTTATTAAATCTATTTACACATGAAACTCTGCTATACATAAAATTAAACATCTCAGAGCATCTTCCAGCCTGCAAATAATTTACATCAATGGACCCTATAATTCCTACTTTTGTCAAAGTGAAAACACCTCCTATATTTGAAAAGAAGTGTGGAGAACCAAGCTGTACTATAAAACGTCAATGAGACATTCTAGACTCTAGAAATCTAGAGCACCAAAACTAGGCCTCTTCAGGGCTCTGGCAGTTTAATTTCCTGCAAAGCTTCTAGGCCCCAAATAATGCAACTTAGGCCACCACAGCTTTTGGTGAGGGACTGATATGACTACAAACTGCTAAATAGCAAACTACTGAGGAAAGACCACAGACTAGCTGAGCAGCACAAGGAGTTAGTGAACTAACTCTATGTTCCATAAACTTTCCAGGTGGGCGCGGTGGGCCACGCCTGTAATCCCAGCACTTTGGGAGGACAAGGCGGGCGGATCGCTTGAGCTCAGTAGTTTGAGACCAGCCTGGGCAACACGATGAAACCTGTCTCTACAAAAATTAGCTGGGCATGGTGGCCCATGCCTGTAGTCTCAGCTACTAGGGAGCCTGGGGTGGGAGGATCGCTAGAGCCGAGATCGCGCCACTGCACTCCAGCCTGGGTGACAAAGTGAGTCCTTGTCTCAAAAAAAAAAAAAAAAAAAAAAAAACTTTGAAAGAAGCAACTTCATTAGGTGAAGACCGGAAGTGAACAGCTAGCCGTGTGCATCGTTGTATTAGGCACTTTTACACTGGGCATGCAATAATTTTAAATGCTCATTTGTAGTTAACTCTAAAAAGCCTATTTTGGCATCACAGTTCCTTTCTGTTCTGCTTTTACTAATATCAAACTAATATGCATTCTTTGGCTGAACTACAAGAATAAAACACTATAAAGAGGTTAACTCACAACTAAATGCTTAGAGAGCGCACAGTGGCGAAAATCTGTCTACAGGTCATATAGATAGATAGATAACTGATAGTTGATGGTATTTTTATAAATATTTCAGAGATAACAGAAACTAAG
Organism: Homo sapiens; assembly: GCF_000001405.40. Lineage (NCBI taxonomy): Eukaryota > Metazoa > Chordata > Mammalia > Primates > Hominidae > Homo > Homo sapiens. Next base: position 77,026,069 of record NC_000013.11, read on the forward strand.
TTACTTTTTTTTCAAGTTAGAAAAGGAGGATTCTAATTAAAAAATCTGGGTCACTCAACTGGATATCATTAGCAACGACAAAATAAAAATGATCTCTCTCACCTCTCAGCTTGGAGATACAGACCATTTACTGGGCTGCTTCCTGACCCCTGTCTGCAACCCCACCTAAAGGACTGCCCACGCCAAAGGCAGACGCGAATCCGCTCAACACAAGTTGACCAAGTTTTTCGCCTGGCTAAGCGGCAGGGGCGTCCCCTCCTCCCTGCGCCACCTCCCCACCGACTGGCTTCCCCTGACATTTCTCATGCGCCCCACCCTGGGCAGTTTGCTTTGACATTTCAGTGCCTCATTGCTCAAGCTACCAGCACGGGCGTAGCCGACGCCGGGAGAGCCCACAGAGTGCGAGCTCCATGGTGCCTGTCACCAGCCCCCGCCAAGGGTCATAAAGCCTGGCAGGAGCCGCGGCGAACCCGGGAGCGGCGGCGTCGCGGGCAGGCTGCAGGCGGCCGCCGCACACGCACCACGCCTTGTTGACATGTTTGGAAGCAGGCACGGCGGGGAAACGCCCCCAAGCAAGCTCCAAGGTCTGGGTGCCGCGCCCCGCGCCCCGCCCGGCACTCCTGAGGAGCGGCCCGCGCGCGCCCCGGCCCCCGCGCCCCCCCCCACCCCACCCCACCCCGGCCCGCCCACAGACGGTCCGCGGTCCCTCCCCGGCTCCGCCGTCGCAGCGGGGCTCGGCCCTGCCCCTCCGCCGTTACCTGCTGCCGGGGGCGGCTTCCCCCACACACCACCCCGTGCTCCGGGGACGGCGGCGGCTGCAGGTCCCGCGGCTCTCACATGAGGCGCCCCTGGCCCCCCGCTTCGCGCTCCCGCAGCCGCGGCCCCCCGCGCTCCGCCCGCATCCGAGGCGCTGGTCCCGCGGAGGGCGCCAACGCGGCTCCACCTTTGCGGCTCTGGCTGCCCAGAAAGAAGCTTTCCTTCTCAGTCCCGCGCTGTCTGTGTTCAGGGATCCCCGGCGCCGCGAGAGACTACCTCAGCGAGCGGCTGCCACCGCGTAAGCTTCCTGCACCTGGGCCACAAACAGCGAGTCTAAAATGGCGCCCAGGGCTCGCGGCCGCGCGCTTCCCTGGCGCGTCCCCGCCCAAGGGGGCGGGAAGGGGGCGGGGGGGGGGCGGAGCCCGGCGGGAGTAGGGCCGCGCCCAAGCGGGAGCGCGCGCTGCGGCCGCCCCAGTCTCCTTGCTGTGGGACGAGCCTCTGCCTTCCTGCCAGAGATGTGACTCCCGCTTGAAGGGGATTTTTTTTGTTGTTTTGAGATGGAATGTGGGAGGGCTGAAGCTAGCTATATGTGGAAGAGACTATCTGTGGCTGAAACTGGAAGGTTTAGGGAGGTGGAGCAGAAAAAAGAAAGGAAGGAGTCTCGCCGGAGCCTGCTGGGGACCGCGGCCCGCGGGTGGCCGCCCCGGATGCCTGAAACCGAGGAGTTAAATACAGTCTCCGAAGACCCGCGCATCGATGTGCATAAGTGGTGCTTAAAAGATGCCAAGGAAATGTACCAGAATAGTGAGAGTATTAACGCTGGGATTGCACATGGTTTTTGTTTTTCAAATATTTGTATTTCCCAATATTTCTAAAGTGGCTTTTATCATTAGAGTTATTACATTTTAAAAACGACATTTGCTTTATGAAATAGAGTCCTGAAATTTGTAAATAGCTTTTGAAACGCAATGGGGAAAGTAAAGGATTACAAAGCTGCTGAAAAGAAAACCTCTGGTGAATCCTTTTGTAAATCAAGGCATCTTTGTAACTGCTACCTAGTTGACTTGTTTTAAAGTTTGGATTTTTTGATACTGCGTTTTCTTACAGTTAGAAACATTCTTAGGTGCAATATCATTAAGTTGAATCATGCGCCATTCCTCTCTACACCTCCAAAAAAAAAGAGAGAAAGTAGTTTTCCATTCAAAGATGTCTTAGAACACTCAGACCCATGTATAAGACACTGAAAAGCAGTGGTGCCCAGGGAGCTCTCCGTTCTTCCCGTTTTCTCAAGAAATTGAGCTAGGAAGCCATGTATAAAGTTACGTCGAAGTTCAGTGTGAGGCCAGGAGTGGTACAGGCTTATGTCTGTAATCCCAACATTTTGGGAAGCCAAGGCAGAAGGGTTGCTTGTGGTCAAGAATTGGAGACCAGCCTGCGCAATATGTCCAGACTCTTGTCTCTACAAAAAAATAGAAGAGTAATAATTTTAAAAAATCAGACGAGCTTGGTGTAATCCCGGCTACTACTCAGGAGGCTGAATCGAGAGGATGGCTGGAGCCCAGGAGTAGGAGGTTACAGTGACCTATGATGTCACCACTGCACTTCAGTCTGGGTGAGAGAGTGAGACTGTTTCTATAATAAAATGAATTCAATGTGGGGAAATGCCAGTGTTGTTTGTTCGGTGTTTTTTAAGGGCCTGTCAGCTGTCAGATCACTGAATCAAACTGTACAAAGCCTCTAGTAGCATAAGAGTGTGGATTTGCCTGAGCTGCAACATTTGTTTAGGTCCCTCAGTGACTGGATGATGAGGAACAATAGGAAGTTCTAAGAAGGACAATGATAATTATTAAGGAAAAACAAATAAGTCAAATACAGGCCCATTTATTTAAAGTTGGGTGAACAGTATAAATGATCAGCAAAATACATTAAACCAATTCAGTAAACATGATGAGCATAGGTTGCATTACGTTAATATTGTATCACATTACGGTTATATCACATTCCAATCATAGTTCTTTTTTTTCTTTTTTCGCCATTATGATCTATTCTCCTCCTAAACAAGACAAGGACCTTGGCACACTTGACCTATTGAATACCCCTTTTCTTCCCTGTTATTGGCAAATATTTTATTTCACCTCATTTTTTTTGAAAAAAAACGTTTATTTTTTAATCAGTCAGTACTTATTTACATTTATCAATTGTATCATCAAGATCAGTGGCATGGTAGGTGGGAGAAAGGATGAGTGTGGAGCACATTGATCCAACTGGGAAAAATAATTTATTACTGACCCTGTTTGGAATTGCCAATGCATGTGGTAATAAAAAGCAGATGAACAATTAGTCTCTTTATTATTGTTTTAAATTATCCACAGACAATGTACCCCCTCCACCACGTAGAATGGTGTAGACTATTCCCACACCACCCCAGCCTTGGTACACCAATGATCAGGATAGATTAGATTATGTTGCAGTAGTTCCTTAAATACCATCTTGTAATTCCTCGTTTTTGATGACCTTTACAGTTTTTAGGAGTACTGCTTTAGTATTTTTGTAGAACGTCCCTCAATTGGGGTTTGTCTTAGGTTTTTTTCTTATAATTACATGGGGACTATGGATGTTTTAGAAGGAAAACTACAGAGGTATAAAGTACCATTCTCATCACATCATATCAAGGGTACATCTATTAATACGACTTATCCTTGTTGATGTCAACATTAATCAGAGGTTGAGATCAAGTTATTCTACTTAAAGTTACCCTTTTCCCTCTCTTTTTGTACTGGAAGAAAGTCACTATGTGCAGCCAACACTGAAGAATGTGGATTTACCTGAACTGCAACATTTCCTTGAGAGGGGAATGTCTATTTAAATTATTAAAACTTTTCTGTCTTGGGAGGTGTATCTACATATCTCTTAATTGTATATGTTTACTTTTCTGTCTGTAATTTCTGTAGATCTGTCTTCAAGTCACTAATTTAGTCTATTTAGTCTTTGCTAAGACTACCTTTGCCTGCGTTTTTCGTTTCTAAAAGTTTTATTTGGTTCTTTTTCATATCTACCTGATCTTTCTTGATACTCTTTTCACTTTGTAATTTCTTTTTTTCTTAAATTGTTTTAATCCTATGAAATAATTGGGGGTCTAATCATGATATGTGTCAATGTTTGTTCATGGTGGGTTGTTCCTCATGTATTTTATAATTTTGGATTGTGAGTTCATCTTCCGTACAACTTTAGCTGCAGGAATTTTGTGCAACAGGCAGAAGCTGGAAGGGGAGGAGATTGTTAGTGAGTGCTGGAAAGACAATAAGGAATTGTTAATGGAGTCCAGAGAAATCAGGATATCTTTAGATATCTTTCATATAATAATGGCAAGCCCAGGGAAACATTTGTCTATGGCAACATGGAAAGTAGAGAAATGCATTTATTTAATTGTTGGACTTGGCTAAAGAAATTTCCAAGCAGGCTGGCTGCAGTGGTTCACGCCTCTAATCCCAGCACTTTGGGAGGCCAAAGTAGGCGGATTGCTTGAGCTCAGGAGTTCAAGACCAGCCCAGGCAACATGGCGAAACCTTGTCTCTATTAAAAATACAAACAAATAGCTGGGCGTGGTGGCATGCACCTGTAGTCCCAGCTACTCAGGAGGCTGAGTTAGGAGGATTGCTTGAACTTGGGGATGGAGGCTGCAATGAGCTGAGACTGTGCCACTGCGCTGTATCTCTAGCCTGGGTGACTGAGCGAGACCCTATCAAAAAAAAAAAAAAAAAAAGAAAGAAAAGGAAAGAAATCGCCAAGCAGAAGGTTGAGAGTATCTGCTGGTTTCTTTTGGTTGCATATGAAAAAGTTCAGATACCCAGCACTTTGGGAGGCTGAGGCAGTTGGGAGGCTGAGGCAGCTGGATTACTTAAACTCAGGAGTTTGAGGGCAACATGGGAAAACCCTGTCTTTACCAAAAATACAAAAATTAGGCAGGTGTGGTGGTGCACGCCTGTGGTCCCAGCTACTCAGGAGGCTGAGGCGGGAGGATCACTTGAGCCTGGAAAGTCAAGCCTGCAGTGCAGTGAGCCGTGATCATTGTGCCACTGCACTCTAGCCTAGGTGATAGAGGGAGACCCAATCTCAAAAAAAAAGAAAAGAAAAAGTTCAGATAGAGAGAACGTAAGTACAGAAGTAACTGTTTAGTTTTTTAGTAGAATTTAGAGGAAAGATAAAGGGCCTGGAACAGTCTTTCCTTCCATCAAAAGGTTCACAAAATTTAAAAAGACCTTTAGGGAAATGATAAATACCTGGGTACTACCAGTAAGACATGGCCTCAGAGTAAGGCTCAGATCAAGAGTCCACCTATTGGACTTTAGAACAATTTCAGGTGGTACCGCTTAGACCATCTTAGCTAGTTAAGAGGTCTTTTAAGGATTTTATGTGTATGCTTCCTAGACTTCTAAGAATTTTAAAAGCATTGAGCCATAGCATCTTGAATCTCAGCCCTACCATAAATCTCAAAGAGATTTATGGGTGTGGCTTTTTTTCTGATGGAGTGAACCAAAGTAAGAGTCATAGGAAACATACAATATGTTTATGAAAATTGTATTAACAGAAACACTGTGAATTTGAATAGAAGATACAGAGACAGTTGAAAATGAAGAGTCCTTGGGGCTCCCATCTTCTGTCATTTAAATATAGGTCCATAAAACGACTTACCAGCAATCATAGACCATTTCTTATAAAGAAGGAATGATGACTCAGAGTGCAGAGAAAGGACCCCAGACGGCTGAGCCAAGAGCTACTGAAAATCACTTCCAGGAAGCAGGACTGGGCCTTAATTAAGAAACTGGTTACATGTTTCCAGCTAGATTTCAGAATCACTATAGACAAGTGACCGCTATTGTTTCCTCTTCTCCCCTTTATAAATGGGAGAATTTACTATCCTACGCCTATTTCACCATTGTATATTGGTTCTACATGAGTAGATCACGTGTCTCTTTAGTTCACAAGTCTTTAAGAGGAAATGCACTTGAATATGGGCTGGACTTTGTGATTTGCTCCATCATGAAAATGTAGAGGAAGTAATATTCTAGGACTTCCAAGGCTAACTTATGAAAAGCCTTGCAGTTTTTGTCTGGATGTCTGCATCTCTTGGCATGTTTCTTCCTTAGCAACTCCCTCTTGGAACCCAGTTGCCATGCTAATAAGAAGTCCAAGTCACATAAAGAAGTGTGCTGGTTTACAGCCCCCGCTGAGCTCCCAGCCAGCAGTCAGCATCAACTGCCAGCCATGTGGGTGAACCTTCTTGAGCATCTGTCCAACTTAAGTATCCAGATGACTCCGGCTCAGCTGCTATCTATTTGCAAACACAAATCCAAACTGAGAATCCACCAGCAAAGCTCGGTGAACCTACAGAACCCTGAGAGACAATAATGAAATATTATTTTAATCCATTAAGTGTGGAGTGCTTTGTCATACAGTAGTAGATAACTGGAAGATAGTTAAATAATAAAGACAAGAGGAAGAATCAATAAGATAGGAAAAATAAATAGAGGAATTAGCAAAAACAGAAGCTGGTTTATACAAAAGGCAAATGAGGTAGACACTTATTTGGTCAAATTGATTAGTAAAAGAAGAGAAGTTGGAAATTAACAAAGTACAGAAATTTTTAAAAGGGGAACTAATATAGCCGCTACAGAGATTTAAAATACTAAAAGTATGTTATGAATAATTATTAACTAATAAAATAGAGAGCATAAATAAAATGAATAAATTCTTTTAAAAATAACATGTCAAAATTAGTAACAAGGAGTAGAGAATTTGAATTCATTATAAACATTGAAGTAATTATCAAAGCCTTTTCCTCCCAAATAACCCTAAGCCCATATGGAATTAGAGATGAGCCTTATCAGATTTCTAAGAGTTTAATCCTTTCCTTCTTTTCTTTTTCTTTTATTTCTTTAATTTTTTTCTTGAGACAAGGCTATGTTGCTATGTTGCTCAGGCTGACCTCAAACTCCTGGCCTCAAGCAACCCACCTGCCTCAGCCTCATAGCTGGGATTATAGGAGTGTGCCACCATGAACAGCATGACCTGATCCCTTCTTATACAATTGAGAAAAAAGATAAAGAAATAAAGTGATCCAAGTCATCTTAATGAAGCTACTATAATCATGATTCCCAAACCAAAAAAGAAAGGAAAACTATAGCCCCATGGCCCACAATGAAAATAAATGCAAAAATGCTAAAATAAATACAGGTTGAACATCTTTAATCCAAACATCTGAAATCTGTAATGCTCCAAAATCCAAAATTTTTTGAGTGCTGACATGACTTCACAAGTGGAAAATTCCACACCTGACCACAGTAAAAATGCAGTCAAGACTTTATTTCATGCACAAAATCATTTAAAATAGTGCATAAAATTATCTTCTGGCTAAGTGTATAAAGTGTCTGTGCAACACAAATGAATTTCATGTTTAGGTTTGGGGCCCATTCCTAAAATATCTCATTATGTATATGCAAATATTCCAAAATCTGAAAAAAATCTGAAATCCAAAAGACTTCTAGTTCCAAGAAGTTCAGATAAGAGATATTTGACCTTTATTAATCAAATCCAACAGTGTAATAAAACCAAGAAATAAACAAAACCAAAACAAAACAGTGATAATAACGTGCCTGATCCTCTTTTTCCTCTTTTTCTTTTCCCACGGCATTTATCACTTCCTAGCTTGTTAGGTATTGTATGTCAGTTGTTTAGTGTCCATCTCCCACCTGGAATATAAGAATGGCAAAAACATGAATCTGGCCGGGTGTGGTGGCTCACGCCTGTCATCCCAGCACTTTGGGAGGCTGAGGTGGGCGGATCACCGGAGGTCAGGGGTTTAAGATGAGCCTGGCCAACATGGAGAAACCTCATCTCTACTAAAAATAGAAAAACTAGCTGAGTGTGGTGGCGGGCACCTGTAATCCCAGCCACTCAGGAGGCTGAGACAGGAGAATTGCTTGAATCCGGGAGGCAGAAGTTGCACCGAGCTGAGATTGAGCCACTGCACTCCAGCCTGGGCAACAGAGCAAGACTCCATCTCAAAAAAAAAAAAAACCAAAAAACAAAAACATGAATCTTAGTCTGCTTGGTTCACCAATCCTAGGCTCCTAAACCAGTCTGTAAATGTTTCTTCCAAGGATGAAAGAATGTGGCAAAACAGGACTTATGTTTTATTACATGGCGTAGTTACCTGGACTTAACCCAAAATAAATCTGTCCTGAGGAATAGATAGGGACTTAGATGTCACAGAAGAGGGAAGACTCTTAAGAGGCAAATGGGAAGATGATGAGAGAACACAGTCATAAGTTAGTTTATGAGTCAGAGGACCCATATCATACAAAGAACCCTGTTCTTTTGTGATTCACCAATTTCTTATGTTCCACAGTGAATGGTAAACCTCCATATAGAAACAGGGGCCATCCAAGCTGGGACAGTCTTTCCCCTGGGAATTTGGAATTAATACCGGCAGAAAGAGAGTAGTCTGTTCCTTGGGTCCTTAGACTTGTAACACATCAACCCAGGAGCTATAGGTGATCTTTTTACCACATGGTCTGCAAAGCAGAGAAAGGTGCTCTGCACTGAGAAAGAAGAAGAGAAAATAGACGCATAGAGAGGAACGTGAGGAGAGATGGTGCCAGAGCCTCCAGCCCTGGTTCTGCTCTATTCCCACAGCCTGGAAGAGGTAGCTCAGCTCTCACATATTTTTTTCTTGCTTTTCAAAGTTATTTCGACTTTGTTTTCTTTTGCTTGCAATCAAAACTCCTTACCATTGCAAACTTAATCTGGAAAGGCTGCTCCTTGGATCTCAAATTATGTTGCTTTTCACTGAAAGGTGATCATGGAATTTGGTCTTGCTGTGTCTTGTGTCCGGGAGTGGGGCCTTGCATCCTCTCCACAGCTGCCCTTTAACCAAAGATGATTCTGCCTAGTCCTAAAGGGGTGCTGGTGGCTGTGGATGGCCCTGTCTTGGATGGAGCCCCAGAAAAGTCACTGGGCATGACTACTGCCCCTTTTGAAAGATTTCCTGTTTTCCAAGTTGACAGATCAACCACAGGGGCTGGAGGCAGGGAACCTAAGACCGATTTATGCCGACTTCCTAGAACGAAATCAAACTTAAAGACATCACTAGAAGAAAGATGCATGCAGTTCTTTCCTGAGGGGCTGATACATCTCTAAAGAGCAGTTAAGTTGGGGAGGAACAGAACTTTTCACCCGAATTGAGTCATTCCTTTGAGTCATACAAGGCAAGGGCCTTATGGACTTAGGGTTTTATAAGGAGCATGCTCCATGTGTACTTTCCCACTCTCTGACCTCTTTTTCCTGAAGCTCTCTTCTTTCAGGTCCTTTAGTCTGATGTCGCTTCAGGTTCTTCTCAGGCTTTGCAAATTTGAAAGCCTCAAGCCTCCACTGCTCAGTCAAAGCTGCTCTAGAGTGGGATGGAGAAGATGTGGATTGGGTTGGAGCTCAGGTCTCATTCTGCCATTTACAGGATACGCGAGCTTGCACAGATTACTTCTTCATGCTTCAGCTTCCTCATCTATAAAATGGGAATAAGGCTGTTCACAGTGGCTAACACCTCTAATCCCAGCACTTTGGGAGGCTGAGGTGAGAGGATTGCTTGAGCACAGGAGTGCAAGGTGGCAGTGAGCTAAGAAAGTGCCACTGCACTCCAGCCTGGGTGACAGAGTGAGACCCTATCTCTAAAATAATAAAATAAAATTAAATGGAATAATAATAATATATACCACATAGGGTTATCGTGAAAATTAAAGGTGTCAACATCCATAGAACAAAAAGGTCAGTAGCAGGCACACAGTAAATCCCCAGTAAATGCTAGCTACATCATTGTTGCTATTGTTACCAGTGGAGAGTGTCCAGGTTCTTGGTTTCTTGAACAAACAATTGGACAAAACACACAAAGCAAGGAAAGAATGAAGCAACAAAAGTGGAGATTTATTGAAAACAAAAGTACACTCCACAGAGTGGGAGTGGGCCTGAACAAATGGCTGAAGAGCCCGGTTACATAATTTTCTGGGGTTTAAATACCCTCTACAGGTTTCCCATTGGTTACTTGGTGTACACCCTATGTCAATGAAGTAGTGGTCTGTGATCAGTCTGATTGGTTGTGGGAGGGGACCAATCAGAGGCTGAAGCAAAGTTACAAAGTTACACTTTATGCAAATGTCTGATTGGTTGTGGAAAGTGACCAATCAGAGGCTGAAGTTACAAAGTTATATACTCCCATACAAATGAGGACTTGGCCCATGACCAGCCTAATTGATTGTGGGAGGGGACCAATCAGAGGTACTTTCAATTTTTCATCTGCCACGCAGAAAGGGGGGTTGCAAAAGGAGTAGCCTTTGTTCCTTTTGTTACTTAGGTGTGGAAAGTTGGGGGTTTCCTTTTGATTTAGTTCTAGTAAGTCAGCCTGAATTGGCCTTGGATTCCCTGCCTCCGGACCCTATTCTCCTGTCTCACTATTATTTTTGGCCCTAACTTGATAAGTGAGGACAGCAGTGGCTGTTTCAATTCTAGGCCTTCATAGCTGCAAGAGCTGTAATGTTTTCTCTCTCACTGGCTTAAGCAGCAGTAACACCACCAAAGGGGCACTAACAGCCTATGTGAAAAGTGTTTTTCTTGCCAGGACTGGCTTTGTCCTTGAAAAGCAGTAACCCAGGCAAGCACTAAAATGCACTTGACTATTTTCTGGACTTGGCATGCATGTCAAGAAACAGCACACCAGCTGCAAATAGTTCTCATTTAGCCTTGCAGATAGAAAAAAGATTCTATAAAATTTCAGATTGCCACCTCTACTCCCTTCCAATAGAGGATGGTTTCCCATTCATTCTGCCATTGTAACACAGCATCCCTGACAGATGTCCATCAGCCTAGCCTCTGTTTGAATAGCCCCTGTGATGGGCTCACTAGTTACCAATAATATTTGTTTCATTGCCAAGGATATTTGTTCCACAGGGATTCATTAGAGTATTTTTTTGTAGGTGTAACCAAAAGGGATTTCTTTGTTATTTTTACCCCTGGCCTTTACTTTTGCCTTTAAAGTAAATGATATTAAGCCATGCTCCCTTTTTAGGCACGTGGCATTTTTCCTATATGACATTCAGGTTTAAGGACCTCAGCTCCTGTCATGTCCACTTTGCCAATCAGTTCCATTCTTGTTGGTTAAAACTAAATCCAGAAGGGCAAAAATCTCTTTAGCTGCCTGTTTTTCAAATGTACCCCATATTACTTCACAATGACACAGATATGATTACTTTTGATCAGGCCCCAAGTTGTGTGTAGGTTTTGAATGTCCACTTGCACACAGTTTACTTACTAAAAGGCATGGACATTGGCAAAGTTTGGTTTTGTGTTCCTGCCCAAATCTCATGTTGAATTGTAATCCCCAGTGTTGGAGGAGAGGTCTGGTGAAAGAATACTGTATGTATCACAGGGGTGGTTTCTAATGGTTTAGCACCATTTCCCCCAGGTTGTTTAAAAGTGTGTAGCACCTACCTCTCCCACCCCACTCAGTCTGTTTCTCCTGCTGGCCATTGAAGATGTCCTTGCTTCCCCTTTGTCTTCCATTATGATTGTAAGTTTCCTGAGGCCTCCTTAGAAGCAGAAGCCTGCACAGCCCACAGAAACATGAGCTGATTAAACCTCTTTTCTTTATGAATTACCCAGTCTCAGGTAGCTCTTTATAGCAGTGTGAGAACAGACTAATACAGACATCTTCAGCTTCAGCTGGAGTTATTCTTTCCAGGTGGGCACTTTCACACAGCTCATTAATTGACCCCAGTTGACCTTCTACAATTCCATCAGATTTTCTTATTTCTTGTTCACATCCTCCATGTGGACATTTAGGAATTAAACACCATACACACTTGCAGCATTGTTTCATGCTGCCCCTTCTACTTGTCTGATAGATATGACTCTTTGAGACAAAGTGCACTTTCTAATTGGAGTCTTTTGGTGCTTGATTCTTTCATGTAATATCTTGGATATAACCATGAGATTGTACTTTTTTGTGTTAAAATGTCCAGGTCACATTCTTATGCATGCCCCATGCAGTGGGACATCAATATTGGACCCATTTTTCCATTAGTGCACTTGGGAATTACTGGACCCCTTCTCTTCTGGGCCTTTGCATGAGGTCCCTCACTCTGTGTGTGAAGCCAGTGAATCTCCTACTAAATCCTCTTTCTAGGCACTGGGAACATATTTCTTCTCTTTCTAGGAACTCACCATTCTGGTATTATATGCTGTGCTCCATTAAATCAAAGGTTTTGTATTGACACTACCTTTATTCGCCACCAGACACCAAGTCATTTGTTCCCACTTCAATAATTGAGGGAAGTGACTGATGTATTTGCTGGGCCTTGGAAGGCTGGTCAGTGTTGTTCATCTTCATAAAGCGCTGATTGCAATTATTCCTGTTGTTCGAAAGCATTCTGTGCTTCCGTCTTTGCAAGGTTGAAGGGAAATTCTTAGGCCTGCCATTATAAACTAATGTATAATCTGGTCTGTATCCAAGTCATCTTCTATGACATTATTTTTTCTTTTTGCTGAGGTATAATTTATTTATTTATTTTTTTGAGATGAAGTATCGCTCTTGGTGCCCAGGCTGGAGTGCAATGGCATGATCTCGGCTTACCGCAACCTCTGCCTGCCAGGTTCCAGCAATTCTCCTGCCTCAGCCTCCCAAGTAGCTGGGATTACAGGTGCCTGCCACCACGCCCAGCTAATTTTTTGTATTTTTAGTAGAGACAGGGTTTCACCATGTTGGCCAGGCTGGTCTTGAACTCCTGACCTCAGGTGATCTGCCTGCCTCAGCCTCCCAAAGTGCTGGGATTACAGGTGTGAGCCACCATGCCCTGCCGAGGTATAATATATAAACGGTGAAGTACACAAATCTTAAGTGTACGGTGTGGTGGACTGCTACACTGTGCCTGGGTAACCACCATCCTGATTAAGACAGAAAATACTCCGGTAACCCAGTGCTCCCTCATGCGCCGTCCTAGTCAATGCCCTCTCAAAGGTAACCACTATTCTGAATTCTATCACCATACATTCGTTTTTTTGCCTGTTTTTATAACTTTATGTAAATGGAATCATACTGTATGTGCTCTGCAAGTCAGCTTAACTAAACCCTTTTCGTTGTAAGCCACCTCTTTGTGTGTTAACTCTATCTAGGATTCGATTGTAAACTCTTCAAAGGAAGGAAGTGTGTTTTGTGACTCTTGATTATAGCCTTTATCAACTCTTTCCAAGATTACAGCCATAACTTCCCAACTGTCTTATCCAGTGGTGGTGTTTTTCAAGCCACCTTCTGGCCTGCTTCCTGCCTCATCTTCCTAGAGCACACATTCGTGCATACCTCTTGCTAAAAAAAAAATTCCAATGATGGATGATAAAATCAAACTGTTGAGAATGAGATTCTAGACCAGCACTGTTCATTACAAATGCGTGCAAGCCACATATGTATTTTACATTTTTCTAGAAGCCACTAAAAAAAGGAACAGCTGGAATGAATTTTAATAATTTATTTTATTTAACCCAGTATAGCCAAAATATTCTCTGTGTAATCAACATAAAAAAGTATTGAAATACTTTCCATTCTTTTTCTTGGTGAGACTCAGTGGCCTCATCTGATAATATTTTGGATAATATTTTGTAGGTTTGTGGAAGATGAACACATCATGATGCTTGTGAAGCCCATTGTATTCCTTTCCTGTTGCTGCTGTAACAAATCGCCACAGACCCGGTGGCTTAAAACAACACATTTATGATTGTGTAGTTCTGGAGATCAGAATTTTGAAATGTACTAACAGCAGAGTGTACATTCCCTGTGGAGCCTCCAGGGGAGAACCTGTGTTCACCTTTGCCAGCTCCCAGAGGCCACCTGCATTCCTTGGTGCCTGGCCCCTTCCTCCATCTTCAAAGCCGACAGTGTAGCATCTTCAAGTCTCTATCTCTGGCCTCTGCGTCTATCCTCACATCTCCTTCTCTGACCGTGACCCTCTTGCCTCTCTTTCCCATATTAGAACTCTTGTGATTACATGGGCCCATGGGGTCAATCCAGTGTACTCTTCCCATCACAAGATCTGTACCGTTAATCGCATCTGCAGAGTCCATTTGCCATGTAAGGCAACATCTTCACATCCCAAGGGCTAAGACGTGGACAGATTTGGGGGGATGGTTATTCTGCCTGCCATGACTGTGCAGGGCCACGGTAAGCCCTCAATAAATGCTTTGTCTAATGGTTATAAAACCTGGATTAAGGTCCTTAATAACATTGAATTATTTGCAGGATTCTGTATTTGTGTTCCATGGCTGTCTCATCCTACCACCTGGCAGAGCGCGCCACACATCTTGACAGACTCTCATGCAGTTCATTCATCAAGCGCCTTCTCTGTAGAAGTCGTGGTTACTAAACACCCTCATGAGAGTGTACTGTCAAGTGTGGACCTAGACCAGGTGTTCAAATATTTATTAAATTAACGAAGCAAAACAGCTTACCTGGTGCTTCTGAGGAACACGTTAATGCCTCAGTTCTCACCATCATCTCTCCCTGGAATGCCCTTTCCCACTTTTGCTTGTCAAAACTGATCTATCCTGAAAGACTATCTGCGTTGGCTTTTTTTTTTTAAATTAACAGATGAACATTGTATGTTTTAAATGAAGATATCTCTGACCTTGCTTGTTACTGGAGAAACTTACTGTAAAATTGATGGCCTTTTCTTGAGCAATTTGATAACATTGTATGGTTACAGCGAGACACTAATCTTTAACCTTGGCTTTTTCTTTCATAATTTTTCTTCACTGTAACTCCCTCCAGCGTATATCTTTTTGTAGTCTTGTTATTTTTTTCTAAGCCACCCTAAGACATTTGAGAAATGAAGCCATAAGTAAGTCATTTAAAATGTATTACCCTCCTGTGTCAGGCAGGTCCTCTAGGAAGCAGATGCCAAGATTAAGTTAGAAGTGCAGAAAATCTGTTGGGGGTAATCCCTATGAAAGATAAAGTGATGAGGGAGCAGGAGTGGGCAGGGAGAGCCATTAGACTGTGATGCAGGTCTGGCATCTAGGAAAGAAGAGAGAAGGAAAGATTGGGTAGGAAAAGCCTCCGACTGCAGGGCAGCTGTAAGACAGTCTCAGTCGGCCTGAGTTCTTACGCAAGACCGCGCACGCAGGAGTGCCGCTTGGGCAGAAATGGCCAGGCCCGAGAACCCCATCTGAACTCTATCACAGGCTGGGGCTGCCCTGGAGGAGTGTGACATTGGGTCATATGTGGGGGTGATTAAAGCTGGAGGCTGTCAGCTAACTGGACTCCTTGAGGTGGGGCCTCCCCTGAAGGGAAATCTGGGTGGAGGTACCTCCTGACGACACTGAACACTCTTGGAGGCATATGCTGTCTTGTCCCCTGTGCAACCTTGGCCATACGATAAGTGTCCTGAAATTTAAAACTTTGAGTACTGACATGCCTGATACCCAAATAAAATGCTCACTGGAGCATTTTGGATTTCAGATTTGGGATGCTCAACTGGTAATGCAAATATTCCCAAACCTGAAAAAACCCGAAATCAGAAACACTTCTGGTCCCAACCATTTTGGATAAGATGTATTTCATAAATTAGTATTTCTTTTCATAGAACTAGCAGTAATGTAACAATAATAGCATGATGTGATAGAGCTTGGGCTTTAAACCCAGAAAGCTGTGAATTCACATCTCAGGATTTTTTTTTCTGAAGCTAAACTACAGCTGGAATCTAGTGCAAATAATTTCTTTAAACAGCCAAAATGGGATTAATAATGCTTTACTCTCAGAGTTGCCAGGAGGATTAAATAAAATGCCTAATTTCACTGGCTGCCTTTTAGGAGGTGTTGAGTAAATGTCCTCTCCTTTGCTCTCTCTTGAATAGTTTATTGTGGGATAAAGCACTTTTGTATATACCTTCTCATTTGATTTTGATTTGGAATAATTTCTAATAAATTGAGATTTTAAAAGGTATGTGGCTGACTCAAGGCCACCCAAGCAAAAACAAGGCAGAACCAAGGCTTGAATTCAAAGCTTCTGGTTTCCATCCCAGCACTCTATGCACTATCGGCAGTTTTCAGGAAAATGAGCCGCAGTGTTCCATCATACAGCCAATAGCAGAAACACGTGATGATGTATAGGTAGAATACAGTGACACAGTGGGCAGGGAGATATATTGGGCTGAAAATCTGAAAAACAATACAAATTACTAAACATTCTGAATGAAAAGTGAATAAAGGGAGCATTGCATATATTTTATCAAATAAGCTTATTGAGGTTGGGTGCGGTGGCTCACACCTGTAATCCTAGCTGAGGCAGGTAGATCGCTTCAGCTCAGGAGTTTGAGACCAGCCTGGCCAACATGGTGAAACCCTGTTTCAATTACAAAAATTAGCTGGGCATGGTGGCTCGTGCCTGTACTCCCAGCTACTTGGGGCTGAGGTGGGAGGATCACTTGAGCCCAAAAGGCAGAGGTTGCTGCGAGCCGAGATAACGCCACTGCACTCCAGCTGGGGCGACAGAGTGAGACCCTTTCTTAAAAAAAAAAAAAAAAACCCAAAAAACTCAAAAAACCAAAAACCAAAACCAAATAAGCTTATTGATAAAATAGGGAGATTTTAGGCCTAAACAGTCTAGCCATAATACTAAGAAAAATGGCTTTTCCTAGGCTTGAAAATATAACGGAAAAACAATTTCTTTCCAGGAAGATTCACTGACATCTACCACTGTGATTCTGCTTTCTGTCTCCTGCCTTGGATGTTACATGCAGTGTTTGAAGGATGGTCCTTGTGTGTAGGATGCTTGAGCTAAAAATGCCTGCCAAAGCCACTCCTTCCTGTGCTTTGTCATAATTTATTGCTAAGATGTTTATGTTCTCTGGTTTTGAGGTGCTAGAGATCCTGACTAAAAGTGACTTCCTCATAAATGAAGATAAGTTGAAGTCATTGTGAGTATTCACTACACAGCTTTGTTGATTTTATCCCTTTCATAACTTGAGATGGCTTTTTTAGCCAAGCCATCTCAATAGTTTGTTTCTTTTCCTCTACGATTTACAAACTGAGCTGACCAGTTTGCCAGCAAAGTTAACTGACGCAAGATGGTATTCTTCGCAGCTATTAAGTGTCCATAAAGTCTCTTATCTGTGTGGCATTCTCAAGGTTAGTTTCATTCCTGTGGCCTGTGAATTTAAGTCAAATATACTGACAGTGTCAAGTCAAATATACTGACAGTGTCCTCACTGCATTCTCCCCTCCAGTTTTCTTGTAACAGCTTTAGTCTCTCTACGTACTTTGTGTTTTCTGGAAACATTTTCAGTCAATCCTAAGCTTGAACACTCATACTTACTGTTCTTTGATCATATTCTAGATTTTCCTACTTAGGTATTTCTCATGCCTTTCTCCACATCTCTGCTCCTTGAAATGCTACTTATTCTTCAAAAGGCAGCTTAAATGGCCTCTTAGCTACACTCCCAACGACAAAACAATAATGATTTTTCCTAAATCCTGAAGCATTTGGCTTGGATATTTTTATGAAACTTATTAGAACATTCTGTAAAATAGTTACCTGTGCTCAGATCTGATCTTTATTTTTTAAGTTCCTTCAAGGCAAAGATTGTTTTAAATTTCTCATAAATGCTTAACACAAATGTCATTAAATTTGTCAGTAATTCTATATTGACAAATTAAGTTCTATATTTCCCACAGTTGGAATTTAGAACAAAATGTGATTAAAACTTTTGCTAGTCTTGGCCAGGCGCGGTGGCTCACGCCTGTAATACCGGAATTTTGGGAGGCCGGAGGCGAGCGGATCACCTGAGGTCAGGAGTTCAAGACCAGCCTGGTGAAACCCCATCCCTACTAAAAATACAAAAATTAGCTGGGTGAGGTGGCACACGCCTGTAGTCCCAGCTCCTTGGGAGGCTGAGGCAGGAGAATCGCTTGAACCTGGGAGGTGGAGGTTGCAGTGAGCCAAGATGGTGCCACTGCACTCCAGTGTGGGCAGCAGAGTGAGACTGTCTCAAATACAACAACAACAACAAAAGTTTTGCTAATCTGATGTATGATGAGTCAACAATCAATAATTTGGCAATTTCATGACTCGAGTGTCAAAAAGATGTACCTAAACACACCGTTGTCTATAGAAAATGAATAAAAAATTAGTGATTTTATTACTTTATATGAACTTCAAAAAGGGGCTGGGTGCAATGGCTCACGCCTGTAATCCTAGCACTTTGGGAGGCCAAAGCAGTGGGGATTGCTTGAGTCTAGGAGTTTGAGACCAGCCTCGGCAACATGGCAAAACCCCATCTCTACAAAAATTACAAAATTAGCTGGGCATGGTGCTGGTGCATGCCTGTAGTCCCAACTACTCAGGGGGCTGAGGCTGGAGGATCGCTTGAGCCCAGTTGGAGGCTGCAGTGAGCTGAGATCACGCCGCTGTACTCCAGCCTGGGTGACAGTGTAAGACCCTGTCTCATAAATAAATAAATAAAGTTAAAAATGCTGCTAGTTAAAATAGAAGTTAATTTCCTAAATGCTTTCTTCTGTCTTTGGTATGAATATATTTACCTACGAATATATATATA